>NC_000022.11:33709564-33861079 GCF_000001405.40 Homo sapiens
TCAGGGTGGTCCAGGTGGCGTGGTTGTTTAGAGGTACCTACTCTCCATTTTAATTCTTTAATTCTTTTTTTTTTTTTTTGAGACGGAGTCTTGCTCTGTCACCCAGGCTGGAGTGCAGTGGCGCGATCTCAGCTCACTGCAAGCTCCACCTCCCGGGTTCACACCATTCTCCTGCCTCAGCCTCCCGAGTAGCTGGGATTACAGGCATGCGCCACCAAGCCCAGCTAATTTTTATATTTTTTGTACAGACGGGGGTTTTGCCATGTTAGCCAGGCTGGTCTCAAACTCCTGACCTCAGGTGATCTGCCCGCCTCGGCCTCTCAAAGTGCTGGGATTACAGGCGTGAGCCACCACGCTCAGCTGGCCAATGCTACTTTGATGTACTTTCCTCTCTCATCAGACCTTTGCTAGGCAGAAAAAAAAAAAAAAAAAAAAAGGAAAACTTCATCATCACCGTATAATTCCACTGTCCCTGTTGTCTATGTTCCCACTTGGAAAATGCTACTGCCGTTCAACAAATGTCTGTTTGAGTAGCTATACGAGCAAAGAACTACCCTGGGCACTTTCCAAAGAAGCAGAAGACAATAGCTCATGACAGCAAGGCAGTTACAAGCAATTCAAGGAGATTGAAAAAAAAAAACAAAACTTAAGAATGCAGAATAATGTAATACAAATTGTATTCGGTGTTAAGCCTTTGAGGAATAAGCAGTCTGGGGAAAGGTTTTAAAGACTAACGTCTTCTCAGAAGAGACTGAACCAGTGAATCAAAGAATCAAATTAAAAATGAAAACTGGAAGAATTGGCCCCAGAAAATGGCTAGGTCATGGTCTAATGCATGATCATGGTGATGAACCAGCCAGGGAGCTGAACAAGTTAGGAAGACAGTGGCAAGGAAGGCTCAGAAGCCATACTGTGTGTCAAGGGGAAAGGAACAACTCGTCCCTGGCTGGCTGAAGAAAGGAGAATGGAAATGACAGCAGCAGGTGCAGAGAGTTCCTGGGGGACCACAAAAGGTTCTTTTAATCAGAGGCATTTAGACTGGACACAATGGGCACAAGGCACTCATTTGATTTTTCTGAGCAGAGGAATAGAATGATGCAAATTCCTAAGGAATTCATAACATTCCAACAGCTCTGCTGTCATTTGAGTAGAATAAATCAAGATCACCACAATGGCAGGTACATCGATCCAAGTGTAACGGAGTCGTCCTACACATTAGAGAAGGAAATGGCAAAATTCTTTAAAACCAGGGGCACATTTCAATGGGAAGTCATTACTTTGAAAAAGGGGCATTAGAGTACACGATAAATGCTGTATGATGTTTTTTCTCAAAAGACCAGTTAAAACTTAGAAATTTCCAAAGCAACAAATGACACAGCTGCAGAAGACCTTTGGTAGTAAACTGTCCCAAATCTTTACGTAAGAAATCATTCGCTCATCATTTATTGTGCCCCTACTGTGTACGAGGCACTGTGCTGGATATAGATCCCAAGCAAGCAAGAGAGGGCCAAGTGTTATAGGAGCAGTTGTAGGGTGACAAACACCGAGCTCCAGCTTAATCCCACAGAGGTACAGCAGTTTCCCCAGGTGAACAAGGTGAAGCAAGGCAGGAGAGAGAAGAGCCCTGCTAAGGGAGCTATGCAAGAGCAAGGGGTGGCCACCAGGCTCCCATGTTTTGTAACCTGCTGGAGCGAAGCGTCCAGGGGGTCTGCAGCAGGATAGGAGACAGGGAAGAACTGAGATCCGAAGGTTAGAATGGATTGGTCTCTTTCAAGGGTTCTAACCCCTGTGTTAAAATCCTCTGCTATACTACGCCTCAATTTAGAATTCTTCACACTTTCGTTCAAATGTGTCCTAAAATATTGAATAGACCATGGGTCTGAAGGATACCCTGGAAACCAGGAATGAGGCCGACCTCCTTACTGGAGAGAAGTTAGGTGAGCTGCCCACAGCTGACCGATACATAGGATGCTGTACAGGAAAACTGCCTGCTACCTATGGCCAAATGATATGAGCAGAAACACCTCTGAGACCAGACTAAAAGGAAAGAGCACAGAGAAGGGAAAAGGTAAGAATATGAGTTTGTTTGTGTTTGTTTTAGAGTTGGGGTCTCACTTTATCACCCAGGCTGGAGTGCAATGGTGTGATCATAGCTCACTGCAGCCTCAAACTTCTGGACTCCAGCAGTCCTCCTTCCTCAGCCTCTCAGGTAGCTGAGACTACAAGTGAGCACCACTATGCTTGGCTAATTTTTATTTTTATTGTTTTATTTTTTTTGCAGAGACAGGGTCTTGCTATGTTGCGTAGGTCACTCTTGAACTCCCGGCCTCAAGTAGTCCTCTTGCATCAGCCTCCCAAAGTGTTGGGACTGTAGGCGTGAGCCACCGTGCCTGACCTAGAAATACGGGTTTTAAACAGACATTATCTTCTCCAGATTTCAGAAAATAAAGGTAAGAGCTAACGTGTGCTGCATATTGAGTGGTGTGCCATTTTATAAAGGCAGAAGTCCAGAAAAGTGGAGTAACTTGTCCCAACCAAACCACCCAACAAGTAGAGCTAATGCCAAGATTCAACCCCAGGAAGTTTGAGTCTGGAGAGCATTAACCACTACCACTATCCCATTTGGCACAACCCTGGAACCCTGGGGATGGGGGAAAAAAAAAGGGCAAATCCTACCCGGACAGGGAAGCTGGAGCCTGGATTGCAGGCCTAACACTGGAAATGAATGGCCTTGAGCTAGTAAAGATGCCAGCCTCAGTGGGAGAAATGGCCCTGCACTGAGCATCTAAACAGCCTTCAGGCAGGCACGAGAAGACGGATCACAGGCTCGAAGGCTTCTAGAGGAGACCAGCACAAGAGGGGCATGTTCACTGAGGCCATGAACCCACTGGCTATGAGGTGGGTCCAGCCATGGGGTAACTAGGTGAGTCACACAGTCCACTCCATCATCAATGGAAATTCATCAGGAAACCCCTCCTTGACTCTGAGTGGTCAAGAGACGAAAGAAATGGGTAGAGAAGTGGAGGAAACAAACAGTAATTAGAGTCACAGAAATTGAGGGGTGAGGGGTACAGTGTGTGTGTGTGTGTGTGTGTGTGTGTGTGTGTGTGTGTGTGTGTGTCTGCATGTGGGTAGCATGAAAAGCTGAGGCCAGCAAGAAAAGCCACTAACCTACTAGTCTCTAAAAAAGAAAGCAGAGGCAACAACACAGGGAAGAAAGCTTGACCCCCAGCATTCTTCAACAGCCTCAACCAGAGTGAAATTTAAATTATGTTTCCATGGTGCGGACTCTGTGCCTTAGGAATTTGCTCTGCATAATCTTTGTACTCACAGAAGGTATATGGTAAGTATTTGTCAACGGTGAGGACGACAGCTACACTTTTAAAGGTACCTAAATTGCCTACCCTGTGGCTAATCTGTTGTGTGTTTGTTCTGAAAAATTGCCCCTTTATGGGACCTCTCCATCTTGAGAGCAAAATCCCATCACTGAAGGGCTGAGATGTGCTAAGAAGCAGCTCAGTGCTTCATTTCATATCTATTTTCTTATAATTAATCAGTTTTATTTTAAAAAGAGTAGGGGGATAGATATATCTACAGATGAGGGAAAATAGATTCAGCTTAGAGAAGGATTATGCATAATAGTCCCAGAAGGTTTGGCTGTTCAGATGATCATTAAAGGAATGGATAGAGTTGGTTTCAAAAAAAAGTCCCAGCTCCCCCAGGATCAGATAAAGAAAAATGAGAGGGCTGTTTCCACTCCCTTCTGGAACCACATTAAAATGTATCCCTAAACAGCCTTTCGCTAGGAATCCCCCCTGCTATTCCACTAGTACATAAATGCAGAGAACCACATCTGGCTACTGGGAAGCACATCAATCACAGCTCAGGATTCATTCATTCCGCGGTCGCTGGTGGTTTATTTGAAACACACAAGCCAGCACACACAGCTGGACACAGCAAACCAGGTTGGCACTCTTAATTACCTAATTGGTGGTTCTGTTGTAGGCTCTTTTTTTTTTCAGGTTAAACTTTCTTAATGCATAAATGATCGATCCATGTATTTGTTTACTCTTCTTCCTTGATATTCAGCATTTTAAAATGAGTGCCCAGGGCTGGGCACAGTGGCTTCCATGTGTAATCACAGCACCTTGGGTGTCCAAGGTGAGAGGATCACTTGACCCCAGGAGTTCAAGACCAGCGTGGGCAACATGGCGAGACACCGTGCCTACAAAAAATTTAATATTAGCCAGCTATGGTGGCATGTGCCTGTGTTCCCAGCTATTTAGGAGGCTGAGGTGAGAGGATTACTTGAGTTTGGGAGGTTGAGGCTGCAGTGAGCCAGGATGGTGCTGCTGCACTCCAGCCTGGGTGACAGCAAGACCCTGTCTCAAAGAAAAAGTAAATAACGTAACATAACGTAACATAACATAACATAACATAACATAACATAACATAACATAACATAACATAAAACAAAATGAGTACCCAGTGGTCAATAATGAAAGCAGAATCATCCTGGAAACTGGTCCATGCAGACTGACTCCTGCCCTCCTACCAAGTTGGCTACTACAGCTGAAGTGCCCACTCTCCTACCACTGTGGTGACCAGCAGGCCAGAAATGTTGCCCCTCTTCCATCACACACATGATCATGTAATTCCAAAGAAATGAGAAAAGCTGGTCTTGGCCTGGAAAAATGAGGAGCCCCTCGTTCAGAGAACAGCCTCACATTCAAGAGCATGGCAATAAAAAACTCCAGCTCTAGAGGCAGATAAGGCTGGTTCAACCCTCGGCTTCTCTGGCTGTGTACCATGGAGACGTTCCTTACCCTCACTAAGCCTGAGGCCTCATCTGTAAACTGGGGGACATAATTACACTCACTTAGTAGAATTAGATGACCAAAGTCAAAAATGAGATAAAAGACAACACATAATCTGTTGGGGACAATGACAAATAATAACTGCTTTAATCATATAAATGCCAAATTAAGAACTGTAATATAAATTTACCTTGATAACAAATCAATTGAAGGAAGGAAAAACAAAAGAAATTGGCAGGATAATCTTCACTGCTCAGGTAAAACTGACTGTGGCATGGTCCTATGTTGCTACTCAACTTGTTCTCACTCAGGCCTGTGGCCTCCCTTGGCCCAACTGGCCTCAGGTACTTGCGTGAAAGAACAGCAACCACACGCAGGTCTCTGACCCATTCAAACCCCACTCTGCTCCATGTACCCTAAATTCCAATCTACGCCATCTCAGGTTATGGAAAGATGGCAGGTGATTACCTCGTGTGTAATGAACATAGGACACATTCCTCACCCGCTTCAGATTGTCCTCTGAAATTCAAAGGCAGTCCCCTCTCATATCCTTTGGAGGCATGCTGCCAGAAGGACTTGTTGGCAAGAGGTGGAAAGAAATCAGGAAGGAGAAGAGACTATTTAAGAAGCAGGACTATCTGAACTCCATGCTCAATTGATGGAGGCTTCACTTCCACCATCTTTGGGCTCCTACCTTTGCATGAGAAGCTTGGGCTAGAAAGAATCAGAATTAGGGTCGTTCCTTCAAAATCTTCACTTTACACAATCAAAAATGGATGTCCAGAGAAAATTAAGTAGTTGTATGAGATCACCCAGTTAAGTTACTGGCTAGGTCAGGCCTACAACCCAGAGTTACCTGCCTATCACCACAGGCGTTTCTCATGTCTTAACATCACTCATGAATCTCTTTTGACCACCAATAGGGTGGTCTTTTTCCAAGCTCACTGAGTCCTCCCATACTTCTTAGAGGTACAACAGATCCATGTCGTCCTGCTTCTTTGAATTAATGTTCCTAAGGGCAGGCTGGTAACTGGATACTGGGTAACGCCTGGGTGACTTTCTCAAAGTGGTCTTCCTAGCTGGCTGCACTCTCATCCCCCCACTGCATATGCAGCTATCCTTTTAAACTGCAAAACAAACATTCTTCCATAGCCCCATCCCCTAGTACTGTCTACAGCAGTGGCTCCTAAACTTTATCCAGCATCAGGGTCCTCTGGAGGGCTGGGTTAAATGTAGGATCGCCAGGCCCTAACCCCCAGAGCATCTGCCTCTGAAATAGAGTCCAAGCATTTGTATTTCAAACAAGTTCCCAGTTCAGAAATTCTCTTCCCCTAGCTCCCCAAACAACACATGGCAAGGACTGGAAAGCAGATGAGCCCCCAGTTGCAACTGCAGTGGCATCGCACAGGCTAGGCTAAAGTTGTCACGCTCACAGGATCACAGACATCATTGAGCAAAGGGCCTCCATGGAAACGCGGCAGATCCCAGCTGACAACGGCTTTCCTTTCACTGTTCTGAAACCAGCACTAAGAAATTTCTCTAAAGAGTTACAAACCATCCACAAGTTTATTTAATTTTGAGTTAATTCCCCATTACTAACTACTAATTCCGAATTCATGTTTCCCTCCCAATACATTGTCCCAGTTCCTTGCACAATGTACACTCCAATTTCCATCTCACCCCATATACTTAAGTATGATCAACACAGGTCACAGGTACCTCTTACTTTGGGAAACAGTGATAAGCCTTCAAATCTGTTCCCATAAAATGACTCCTATATCCTCAGGTTGATGAATTTAGGAAATTAAAATACAGGATGGCCGTTAGATTTGAATTTATGATAATAAATTTTTTGCATAAACATATGCCCTGCAATATTTAGGATATATTTATACTAAAAAAATTGGCCATTGTTTATGTGAAATTCCAATTTAACAGAGGGAATTACATTTTCATATGGCAACTCTACTTCATCTGTGCATTTGTTCAGAAATTTTTTTGTTTGCTTTTGTTTTCTTTGTTGTTGTTGCTGTTGTTTTGAAACAGAATCTCAGTCTGTCACCCAAGCTCAAAAACAGTGGTGTGATCACAGCTCACTGCAGCCTTGACCTCCCAGGCTCAAGCAATCCTTCTACCTCCTGAGTAGCTGGGACCACAGGCAAGTACCACCACACCCAGCTAACTTACATTATTTTTTGTAGAGACAGGTTTTCACCATGTTGCCCAGGCTGGTCTCGAACTCCTGCATTCAAGAGCAATCCACCTGCCTCGGCCTCCCCAAGCGCTGGGATTACAGGCATGAGCCACCACACCTGGCCACCCCCAAAATATTTACTGAGCCTCTATTATGTGTCACTTGCTGTAAATACAAGACATGGAGCCAGAGTGTGTTAGTAAATGTTTAACAACCGGTTCCTAGGAAGTGGATAAATTTTACTGTTGGCTCATAGTTGAAGACCCTGCAGCCATCCTGCAAATATGAGAAGGCGAAAAGACCTGCAGAGATGCCCATTCAGAGCACAGACATTATGGAACCACAAAACCAGTGTCAACAACCAAGATCTCGTTACATATCAAATGAATGAGTTCTTACTTGTTTAAACCATTAAACAACTTAATTGTTTTTTGTTGTTATTGGAAATGACAAATGATTCCCAACTGATACCCAAAGGATACCCCTCTTCACTGTATATGTTGTACTCTCCCTCTCCAAATACATCAACACCTATTTCTGCATGGTACATGTTGGTGGGTCTCTTCTTTCCTCCCTCCATCTCCTTCATTTATTCACTCATTCATCCACCCACTCACTTACCTTCCTACCCATTCATCCACCCATCTACCCCCACAGTGCACCATGTATTTATTGATTCATTTTCTTGCAATATCCAACGAAACCAGGCTCTAGAACTATTGGGAGGCATACCAGTGAGTGCTTCTGACTGATTCTGAGCCAATCACCAACATTTTCCATCAGGGGCCTCTTTTGGAGGAGTATTTTGTGAATCTGCTCTCAGCTGCTACCACAGAATGAGAGCTTTTTCTTTTCTTTTCCAGTATTGATACATTCCTGGACTCTCTGTTGACCCAGTTCTTCTCCTCATCTACTCAGTATTTCCTTGGGGTCAGATTATAATCTTGGAGAAATCCAGAAAGCCACAGAGGAGCCCGTAAAGATCAATAAATCCACTTGAGAACACTCAAATCCCCACAGTGGAATCGAGGGCTTGAAGCCACAAGTTATCTGAGAAGGCTCTTGACCCAACAGATGCTTCTTTTGTGAACAATCCCAAGCACTAACGAATGTACTCAAGAAACCAACTAGCACTATTTCTGTGATGTGACAAATGAAAAAAGAAACAAGGAATGAAGGATGAAAACTAATAAAATCATACAGAAAACCACTTAACTAACCATCCTGAAATCTCATTTCAAATGCATTCTGCCAAAGTCGCTTTGTCCCCATGAGCCAGAGTGTCCACTCCTACTCCAGGCCTCTGTGCCAGGCCTGCCCAGACCAGTCACCACTCATGTCACCCCTGAGCAATCCCTTTATTTGGCATCACTCTGTTTTCATTCCTCCCATCTCGGCTCTAAAAGTTCCCTTTCTAATCTCCAGGTTCCTGCCATACTTTGTGAGATACGCCATTTGAAGATAGGCTCAATCACAATATTGCAGTAGAGACAACCTTTCCATGTGGTTGCAGAAAATTCTGAACACTATCTAGGCTTTCTCTTCAAGCACACCAAATATGCCGTTATTTACTGTCACCTGAGGTTCCCTTATTAGCACACAGACTATGTCCAGAGAACAAACACCTGGGGATCAATACCAACAGGCTGACCAAAGAAGAGGCCCATCCTCCTGCTCTGAGAACCCCCGGCTAAGTGTGACCCATCAGGACCTCAGCTGCTCACCAAAGACAGCACTGTGGAGAGCCAGACCAGGTGCTGGGAAAAATCCAAGATAGTGACCAATTTATGAGAGGAACTAGATTGGACAAACTGGAAGGCACAGACTGAGGCTAAGAAAATAGGACAGGAGGCTTTTTAGAGGAAATCTGTTCATACTGAGGATAATTAATGAATGTGCTGAATGGACTCTCAGAGGTAGTCACAGAAGCTGAAGCCATGATTTTTAATAGACATAGGTTCTTATTGGGTGAAAACAACATGAGCTTTTTGGCTCGCCACATGGCCAGTGGGCTAAGTTCTTTCCATCCTGATCCACAGTTATTTTATGGTGAGGTGCCTTCCCTATCCTAACTCCAATCAATGCACGTTCATGCCCCTGAAGACCTCTCAGTGAAATAAGTGGAGGTGGAAGACAGTGATACTGATAATCCTGAACCTGTGTGGGTCTCAGCTAAAGTAAAGTGTGTACTTGTATCTTTGTTTTGTTTTCTTTTTTTCTGAGATGGAGTCTCGCTCTGTCGCCCAGGCTGGGTCACCAGGCTGGAGTGCAGTGGCATGATCTTGGCTCACGGCAACCTCCACCTCCCAGGTTCAAGCGATTCTCCTGCCTCAGCCTCCCAAGTGGCTAGGATTACAGGTGCCCACCACCACACAGCTATTTTTTGTACTTTTAGTAGAGACGGAGTTTCACCATGTTGGCCAGGCTCATCTCAAACTCCTGAGCTCAGGTGATCCACCCGCCTCAGCCTCCCAAAGTGCTGGGATTACAGCCATGAGCCACCACACCCGGCTGTATCTTTGTTTTCAACAAAAAAGTTTAAAAAGTAAAAATTAAAAGATTTAAAAACAGCAAAAAGCTTACAGTGTAAGGATATAAAACATTTTTGTACAGCTATACAATGCGTTTGTTAGAAGCTGAGTGTTACGACAAGAGTCAAAAAGCTTAAAAATATTTCAAAGTTTATAAAGTAAAAAAGTTACAGCAAACTAATGTAGCATGACTAAAGATGGCAAAACAGTTTTACAAATTTAGTGTAGCATAAGTGCGCAGTGTTTAGAAAGTCTACGGTAGTACACAGTAATGCCCTAGCCCTTCACATTCACACACCACTCACTCACTGACTCACCCAGAGAAAGAAACTTCCAGTTCTACAGGCTCCATTCATGGTAAGTGCCCTATACAGGTATGCCATCTATACCATATTTATTTATTTATTTATTTATTTATTTATTTATTTTTTTGAGACAGAGTCTCACTCTGTCACCCAGGCTGGAGTGTAGTGGCACAGTCTCGGCTCATTGCAACCTCCGCCTCCCAGATTCAAGCAATTCTCCTGCCTCAGCCTCCTGAGTAGCTGGGACTACAGGTGCCCACCACAACGCCTGGCTAATTTTTTATATTTTTAGTAGAGATGGGGTTTCACCATATTAGCCAGGATGGTCCTGATTTCCTGACCTCATAATCTGCCCGCCTTGGCCTCCCAAAGTACTGGGATTACAGACGTGAGCCACCGCACCTGGCTCATCTATACCATATTTTTACTGTACCTTTTCCATGTTTAGGTACACAAATGCTTACCATTGTGTTACAATTGCCTCCGGTAGTCAGTACAGTCACATGCTATACAGGTTTGCTGCCTAGAGGCAATAGGCTATACCAGCAGTCCCCAGCCTTTTTGGTACCAGGTACCGGTTTTGTGGAAGACCATTTCTCCGCAGACAAAGGTTGGGGGAAGGGGATGGTTTGGGGATGTTTTAGATACATTATATTTATTGTGTACTTTATTTCTATTATTATTACATTGTAATATATAATGCAGTAATTATACAACTCACCATAATGTAAAATCAGTGGGAGCCCTGAGTTTGTCTTCCTGCAATTAGACAGTCCCATCTGGGGGTGATGGGAGACAGTGACAGATCATCAGGCATTAGATTCTCATAAGGAGCCCTCTTGTGCTCAGTTCACAATAGGGTTTGCAATAATGTAATGCCACTGCCGATCTGACAGGAGGCGGAGCTCACGGGGTAACGGGAGTGATGGGGAGTGGCTGTAAATACAGATGAAGCTTCTCTCACTGGCCGGCAGTCCCTAACCTCCTGCTGTGTGGCCATGTTCCTAATAGGCCACGGACTGGTACCAGGGGCTGAGGACCCCTGGGCTATACTATATAGGCTAGGTGTACACTCTATGATATTTATATAACAACAAAATTGCCTAACAACGCATTTCTCAGAATGTATCCCAGTCATACGCATGACTATACTACAAAAGTACTACAATTACTTTTTAATAATTTGTTTTCTTTACTGAGAGTGACTGCACCAGCACACACTTGAGGTCCAAGTCCCAGAGTCCAGAGAATGTGGCCTGTGGTTACATAAGATTGGAAAAGCAAATATCAGAGAAGGAACTGGCTACAAAGTGGACAGGGCCTACATCTCACAGATCCTTGTAGGCCTGAAGAAGTGTAGACTGACTTAAGCCACTGGTGGTTTAAGCAAGGGAGTGTAGTGGCTGGTCTGCTGATCTGGTGTCACGGCAGAGATGATTCCTAAGAAAAGATAAGGCTTCTGAGGCCAGGGGGCTGCTGGAAAAAGAGCAGCCCAATTCCCAGGAATGCCCTCCTCAAGCAGGGAAAGAGAGCCTGCTTTGGGTGGGTAATTTTTGGGGTCCTTAGTGCTTACGGGATTCCTGGAGGAGTGAAAGGAAACCAGATATTCAGAGCATGAAAGTAAACCAAATCCTCTTGATGGAAAACAAAGAAATGGAGGCAAAGGAAGTGGAATTCAACAGTGTGGTGTCAACTAAACAACAAAACTGGGCTTTATCATTTGCAGCTGCTACAATATTTAGTGAGGCTACCTATGTAGAAGTGACTTTGGAACCAGGTATTGTGGAGGAGAAGAGGACTGAACTTAAGACTTGCTAGTTCTACCCTGAAATCCTGGCTTTCCAGAGGTAGGACCCTGAACAAGACATTAAATCAGAGCAAAACACACATTCCTTCTGAATGGCAATAGTCTCATTCATAGAATATGGGCAAAAATTCCTGTTTCCACAGGTGTATTATGACGATTAGGTGAGAATTTGAATGTGCAAGTTTCTTATGGGTGCCATGCTTGATAACCACAGAGGACTATTATCAATTCATACAATATCGAAATTCACCCACTTACCTTAAATGTCTGGGTGAAATAGGGAAAGGCAAAGAACAAGAAAGTACACACACCTATGAGCATAAAAGGGCAACACACTTGTGAACATTCTCAGCAAGTGTCTTTAAAGACGATCTTCTAAGGCAAATCCATGCCCCCAACTGAAGGGCAGCTTATAAATTTGCCAAAGAATCAGAGCAGCCACACAGTAAATGCATGTGCGGCTCCTTAAAAGCTTATTAAATGGTGCAGGTTAAAGGTATCGTAGAAAAACTCTAAGTGGCATAGAAGGACAAAGAACTTCTCACAGAAGCTCTGGACTGTGCATCCTGATTGGTCTGAGTGGTATCTTTTTCCTTGGTACAAGCAGGAACACAAAAGCCTTATGTACAACCCCCATACTGTTTTGTACTCTTTATTTTTGTTTTTGTCTTTATTTTTGTCTTTGGTATATTGTTTTATAGGCAGCAGTCACAGCCACAATGGAGATCCTTGGGTAAAAAATTACTTTGTTGGCTGAGCGCAGTGGCTCACGCCTGTAATCCCAGCAGTTTGGGAGGTCAAGGCGGTTGGATCACCTGAGGTCAGGAGTTCAAGACCAGCCTGGCCAACATGGTGAAACCCCGTCTCTACTAAAAATACAAAAAATTAGCCGGGCGTGGTGGTGGGCATCTGTAATCTCAGCTACTCGGGACTCTGAGGCAGGAGAATCGCTTGAACCTGGGAGGCGGAGGTTGCAATGAGCCGAGATCACGCCACTGCCCTCTAGCCTGGGAGGGAGAAAGGAAGGGAGGAAGAGGGAGAGGGAGAGGAGGGAGAGGGAGAGGAGGGAGAGGGAGAGGAGGGAGAGGGAGAGGAGGGAGAGGGAGAGGAGGGAGAGGGAGAGGAGAGGAGGGAGAGGGAGAGAGAAGAAAGGAAAGGAAGGAAAGGAAGGAAAGAAGGGAGGGAATTACTTTGTCAATTATAAGTCATTAGGAAGATACTAAGGTCAATGATGTGGTGATGACAAAAATAACAGTAACAAATATTGTGACAAATACAACGGTAAAAGTCCTTCAAGTGAATGAAAACGTGTTGAGCACCTATGATGTGCATGGAACCGAGCTGCACATTATGGGGGAAATACATCATTCCTGCCCTTAGAATTGAATGAACACTCAAAAACATCCAACAGAGTCACAGCAGAAGGCACGTTATAGTAAGTCACCCAATGGAGGGAAGTATAATGGCAAGACCAAAGACAGAAAAATAATCCTGATAAGACAGAATGGAAGAAACAGTGAAGAGGGACTCTACAAAAAAGGTGAGGTAGGTCTAGGAAGAAGGGGGTGGACCCTGCATGAGTTAACAACACAGAGACAGAAAAGGAACACGTGCATTCAGGGAACCATCGAGGCCGCAGCATGGGTAGGCTGCTGATTGGGGTCGCAAGTGGGAGTTGAGGTCGGAGCTTGGGGGTGAGCTGTTTTGATGACGTTGTAAAGGGAAATTAGAGCAAGATCCTGGAATGCGGTAAGTGAGCCACTAACAATATCTGGCCTTACTCACTTGCTTTCTAGGCAATGAGGAGCCACAGAAAGCCTTTGAACAGGGAGTGGCACAGCCTTTGAGGAAGATTCCTCTGGAATCTATACGAAAGGCTGGAGGATAAAAGGAGGCAGAAAGCAAAGCCAAAGGGGTCAGACAGAAGCTAGCAAAGGCTTGTTCGAACAAGGAAGCCATTAGAGACAATTACAAGAAAGAGAAGTTTCTAGTTTAAAAGAACCGTATGAAGCTCTCGTTAAAAAGAAAACGGAGTTGCAGTAGTGAATTTCCAGGTTGGCTGCAGACCAAGCCCAGATTTAGGTTCACGGTGTAAAGAGCACAGCCTTCAGGGTCCAGGGGCAAAGGGAGGCATGCCATCTTTCTTTCTCCCAAGAAACAGCTCCAGGATGTGGGTGATGTACAAAGAAATTCTAGAATCAGCTCATGTCTACAGATGCTTTGGAAATCCATTGTGTCCAGTGAGGTACTGTAAGGTGATGAGTGGAAACAAGAATGAAAAAGGTGCTTGCTGATTCCAAAAACCTTACACACAGACACACACACTGATATCAGGCGGATTTGGGTAAGGCTCATATGAAGTTAATCAACAAATCAAGGGAAAAGGGACATGGAATTTGGAAAATGACTAAGAAATGTTGGAAGATAAAATTTGTGGTGTACCTTAGAGAGAAAAACTCCTGTATTTCAGGAGACTGCCATCCACACAGGCATTCTGAGCCCCCCTTTTTTCCCCCTCTACCCATGTGTGATGGTCTCTCTGCGGGACCTCATTCATTCACACAACTCCCTATACCACCCTTAACCTGAGAAGGGCCCGGCTGGGCCACCAAACCCAATTGCGATTCATCACTGAGCCCAGCCTTTGGTTGCAGCCAAAACAGGAAAGAGAATGAAGGAGGCTAGAAATACCACAAAGGCAAACTTGGAGCTAGTGCCCACCAAACCAATTCCCTGCTTCAGAAATGGAACGATGCTGAACTGTCAGCTGAAGAAGGCTGCACAGCTTGAAAGAGGAAGCGTCAAAGGAAGCTTGGTGGAGAGGAGAGTGTGAATAGGGAAGTGCCAACAGGGACACGTGCAGGGGGTGGGAAGGCAGGCAGGACGCCCAGTGAGAGTGACAGAGGCCAGCAGAGCACGAGTGTGCAAGGAAACACAGGGAACGAGAGGCTGCGTGGCTGACAGTGTGCCGGGGTGACAGGCGGATACGGCACATGACGCAGAGTGGAAGACAACCACAGGTAGAGAAGTGTCAGCAAAGGAATGCATTTTTGCTGTTCTCCTAACAATTCAGCACACATCAGATGGGAAGGGTGAAGGAGGAGAGCATGAGACAGGGGTGAAAAGCAGAGCCACAGGGACAATGAAGGACTAAGTCCCATAATACAAAGACCACGGGTCTTTCTTGACTAGACTGATGATGCTATGGGGGTGGAGGTGGAAGTGGGAATCCCTGGCTCTCAGCCACAGTTCTATAAGGGTCACCTTCGTGCCCTCATCTGTATGCTCCAGTAGGCTCATTACCCAGGAGAGAATTATCTCCAGATAGAGAAGGGAAGAGTTGATATAATGTAGACCAAACTCCACCCAGCCATGCCCACAGGCTATGGTACGGGAGACCCATTCCTCCCAGAAAATGGTGAACAAAGGCTCTGCATGCATTTATCAACTTTGTAACAGTCATGGTAACTTCTTCTCCCTTGGCTCATTCATTTATTCATCCATTCATTCATTCGGCAATTATTACTGAGTGTCTGGGACAAGCTGGGCACTTCTAAGTGTACTGAACATGACCAACCAATCACCTGCCCTCAGGGAGTTTACAGTCCAGCGGGAGAACATAGAAAAGAGACAGTCTCAACAGCCAGCAAATACAGTGGAGGCATCAGGCAGTGATCAGAGTTGTGAAGGAAATAAAGGAAGGAAAGGTGGGGTGGGAGGAGGAGGGTTCTGATTCTGACTTCATAAAGGGCCCTCTCTCACAAGGTGAAGTGTAAACAAAGACCTGCAGGAAGTAAAGGGGCTACAAGGGATCCATGGAAAGAGCATTCCCAGAAGCGGGGCCAGGGCAGTGCGCACAGTGAGGAGAGCAGGTGTGTGTGAGGTGAGTAAGAGAAGACACAAGGGTGGGGGCCGCGGGAGGCAGAGCCAGGAGGGCAGGGCTGAGTGGCTCTGGAAGCTCTGGAAAGGCCAGCGGTCAGGTCTGATGGTGGGTCTGAGCAGAGTCGCTTTGTGACACCCTTCTGCTACTGCATGGGGCGAGGGAAGAATCCCAGGATGTGGTCTGGGAGGCAGGAGCACAGAGGCGACAGGGTGGTGACCTGCCCATTGGCCTCGGCCGGTATTCTGAATGCAAGGGTCAGCAGCAGCAACTGTGCAATAGTGCCTTTCTTTTCAAAGAGCCAGCTGCTCTGATTCACAGACAGTCCCTCCCAGTTGAGGGTTCATCAGGAACTAGAGGACCAACCAACAAGGTCATTTACCTGTCACCACTGCTGCATTCACTGGTAATCAAAAGGGGCAGGGTAGGGGAGGACCACGAACCCAAAGAGAAGGTCTGGGAGCATGCAGACATGCCTCTCAAGCCTCACAATTGTCCTTTTGCTAAATTTAGGTTGAAACAAAACGTTCAAAGCCCCCTCGGAAGCCCATCCACAGGTGTGTGACTGTGAACCGCATCGTAATCTCCTAGAAAGCAAGAACATCAGGCTTACATTTTCCACTTGCCTCTCACGGCTCAGAGCTCTGCAGTATATACAGTAAGCACCAAATGAACACTTTTCAGAT
Source organism: Homo sapiens (assembly GCF_000001405.40). Lineage (NCBI taxonomy): Eukaryota > Metazoa > Chordata > Mammalia > Primates > Hominidae > Homo > Homo sapiens. The sequence goes on from NC_000022.11 coordinate 33,725,785, forward strand.
AAATTAAATAACTGCAGAATAGTCATAATGACAGTGTTTTTTTTAAAACAATATTTAATAATTGCTTACTCTGTGCCAGTACTTTTCAGCCAAGGGCAATTTGCCCCCCTGCCGCGGAGACATTTGGCAATGTCTGGAGACACTTTTGGAGTCACAAATCAGGGGAGAGATGCTGCTGGTACATAGTAGGTTCGGAAAGCTGCAAAATGTCATACAGTTCACAAGACAGCCTCCCTGCCCCCCATAAGGAAGGATTCTCCAGCCCCCAAAATCTAGCGCTTATAAATCACTATTTATTTTCACAGCTACTCTTTTTTTTTTTTTTTTCCAGTTGAGGAAACTGGGCCCTGAGACATTAACTTGCCCAAAAGATCACAGTGGGCAACATTCTAGAGCACAGTGGAAGCCGACAGGTAAATAAGTAGATGGGTAGAGTGCAACAGACAGGCAGACAGATTGAGACAAAAATGGGAAAACTGGGAAATATGGAAAAGAACAGGGAATGGATGAAAAGTAGTCCTAAGCCAAGCTCTGCCAAGAAATGACACATGGCCCTGGGCCTTCCCCTCCTGACTCTAAACCTGAGAGCACACAGCTATAAAATTCCAGGAGGTGTAGAAGATCACTGACTTCCAGCTTTAACATCTTCAGGACAAGTTTTTCCCTGCAACTGAAATATTAGCATTATATAAATACTCGTAAACACGTGGCAATATTCACCGTACAAATCCTAAATTCCTTCCCCTTTACTCAGCAAAGGCAGGAGATGCCAAATGTCTTATGATATACTCCTCCCCTCCTCCTTTCCTTGCTTCTAAAAATATCTGTGAACAGCCACCTGTGCCAAGCACTGAGCCAGGGCTGGAAATATTCTAATGCCAGATGTGCAAAGTCCTTTTTAATATGGTGTATTTGTGAAGCTTCCATTACTTGGCCAGCCCCAAGGTGGGCAATTTCCCTACTGCACAGATGGGGCACTACACTGGGACTCCAGCTAACTTTATAAGCAGCAGGCAAGACTGGGGGAATTGGGGTGCAGGGACAGAATTCCCTCCCCACTCGGATCATGCCTCCCAGTCAGTGTCAATATCTACCTCTCTGCTCAATAAATCCTGATGATCATCTTAATAGAAATCATTACCTACTAAATGGCAAAGGAATGAGAAAGCAAGGCAATATGGATGAGAGAAAGAGGTTTTGAGATGAGATGTGAGTAGATTTGGAAAAGCCGGGTAGGGAGAATCAGTCTGTCATGGCTAGCACGGATGGGTCAATGCCGGCAGCAGAAACAAGGCTCCCTGAAGGTCAAGGTGACAGGGGGAAGCCAGGAGGAGCTGGAAGACAGTTATGGATGGGCTCCAAATTGGTCCCTAAAGAAAATGATGTTTTCTATTTCTTATGACAATATTGTTATAGGGCTGTTAACAAGAATCAAGAAATGTCAGACTGTGCCAAGGGATGACATCCAGTAACAGCCTGAGCTGGTTTGATTAAGCCATTTAATTAGCATCTGTTTGGGGCTGGGCACTGAACAGAGGGTGATCCATTCACCATCTGATTCAATTCTCTCATTAAAGGAGGTAGTAGGTATTACTCTTGTATATATCGCAATGAGGAACCAAGACCCATAAAGGTGCTAATATTTTGCTAAACCAAATAAAGTAAAAGAGTGTATCTAATGCCCTGTTTCTCTCACCACCCTACAGCAATGTCAGTGAAGATGGAAAACAGAACGTGGAGAGAGATGTAGCTTACTAGAGCCCTGTGGCTTCAATCCCCACCAGGAATGTCGTTTAAGAGGAAGGTGATCTAGCACAAATTCACATTTGCTTGAGGAAGAATACAAATGTATGTCTGTTTATCTTCTTGGTCTGGAAAGTATTATTATCATGTCCATCTTATAGATGCAGAAAGTAAGACCCAGAAGAATCACATGATACACGTGATATCACAAATATACTGGCTGATAAGGCTGGGACCTGAAACTAGTTCCTCTCTCTAAATGGCTAACACAGAAAACCAAGGCAACGACAGTCAGGGAAGGCAGGGACTTCCTGAGGCTTGGAAAGGTCAGGGGAAGCTTCTTAGGGCAGGTGAGATTTGAGCAGAGCAGGGCCAGCATTAAAGACATCAGCAGGGAGGAGAGGTGAGATCAAAGGACTGGGGACAGGTAAGGGGTATTCAGGGGTCAGGTAGATGGATCTGCACTCACAAGCCCTGATATCAAAGGCCAAGTGTCCATATAAACAGAGAGAAAACCCAAGTCTGATCCAGCAATGTCTTGCTCAAAGCCCTTGAAATGACTTCACATCAACTGTGCTACTCAATTCATATGATCTGGCTCCTGTCTACTTCAGTAGCCCCAACTCCACTTGTAGTATCCCGTATTCATCATCTACACCTATACACATATGCAGGCTATTCCTCCAGCCTACAGACTCTTTATCCCACAAATTAAAAAATTTCCAGAACGGCCAGGCTCAGTGGCTCACTCCTGTAATCCCAACACTTTGAGAGGCCAAGGCAGGCAGATCACTTGAGGTCAGGAGTTCAAGACCAGCCTGGCCAACATGGTGAAATCCCGTCTCTACTAAAAATACAAAAATTAGCCAGGCACGGGGGTGCATGCCTGTAATCCCAGCTACTCAGGAGGCTGAGGCAGGAGAATCGCTTGAACCTGGGAGGCAGAGGCTGCAGTGAGCCAAGATCACGCCACTGCACTACAGCCTGGGCAACAAAGCGAGACTCCGTCTCCACCCCTACCACCAAAAAAAAAAAAAAAAAAAAAAAAAAAACCAACAACAGAGACACATTTCCAGGGGATTTCTTCCAGGTACCACCTGTGGGAAGTTGTCCCTGACACTCCAGGACAGACACACTCCCAGTAGGCAATGCCTGTTAGGCAGGTAGGATGCTATACTAGACTGGCCTGCTGTGTCCCACTTCCTCACTAGCTACTAGAGGGCAGGACCCATAGGTCTACACCCATGAGGTAGACACTCAATAATTATCAAGTCTACAAACACACGGTTACGGATAGAGGAAGGGAGTAAATATAGTATTAGGTGAGTGAGTCCTTGGCCTGCGGTTGGCCTCAGCTTTCTCTACTTTGCCAAAGAAATAATATCCAGCTTTCTTTACTTGTCTGATAATGTTTGTAAAAAGATCCAGAAGCTCAAAGGTATTAACTGTCACCCCCCTCCCCACAAAAAAAGGCATTCTTGGAATGAGCTTTTATTTCAGAAAAGAAACCAATTTATGTAGTGTCATCATAAAATAATGCATAGAGATGATGAACTGACGATGATATAGTGATAAGAATTCTTGTTTCATTTATAATATAAACCTTAATTCCTGCCCTCCCCCAAAATGAGTTAACTTACAATTAAAACACATGTATATAGAACACCAAAGTGCAGATTAAGCAAAAGGCAATATGCAATGGGGAAAGGAATTGGGAAGGAAATAATTACATGAAGTCACAGCCAAAGATACTGACTGCAATCAACCATCCAATTTTAAGGCAGCAGCCTCAGAAGGAAGAGAAAAAGACATGAGTTGAATTAGGTCTCTCTCCTTTGACAGAAGGGACATTGAACAATGTCATGGGAAATGGGTTAAGCTTCAGCCTTTCAAGGGATATAAACTATCACTAATGCATTCCAGAAGATGAGGAATCAAATTTACTTGCTGTGCTCAATATCATGAGAGATAAATATGCTAATAATATGATCAGTTAGGGTATAACACACCAGACTTCCTCCATCCAATGACTCTGGTCTGCTTCAAAGTAGCCACATTAGGAGGCTTTTCATTTACTTCCACTGAAAATGCCACCAATCCCTCAAAGAGCTGGGTGCCCTTATTTAAGGGCCTGCAAAGCCCATTCCCAAACAACAGGCGCTATCAAGGACAATGAAGATCAACAACAGGAACACAGGATGGACATGGCCCTAGCCCCTTCCCTAAGCCTTGGTTCCTACAGTTGCAAAGATCTTTATCTCTGCTTCCTGAGGAAGGCTGTCAAGAGAAGCAAATGAGTTAGCGTACACACATGTAGAGGCTCTCATGCTTACCCGTTCTCCCCTCATCAAGTATTTATGGAGGACCTATAAGATGCCAGGCATGAGTCTCATTGTTGGGGTATGGAAATGACAGAAGTCCCTGCCCTCATGAAGTGTGTGTGTGCGTGTGTGCATGCGTGTGTGTGTGCGTGCATGCGTGCGTGTGTGTGTTGAGGGAGACAGAGACCAAAATACAGTTAACCCTTGAACAACACGGGTTTAAAGTGCATGAGTCCACAAATACACAGATTTTCTCTTGCCTCTGCCACCCCTGAGACAGCAAGACCAATCTCTCCTCCTCCTCAGCCTACTCAACATGAAGATGAAGATGAAAACCTCTATGATGATCTGCTTCTACTTAATACATAGTAAATATATTTTCCTTTTGATGTTCTTAATAACAATTTCTCCTCTCTAGTTTACTTCACTGTAAGAGTACAGTATATAATATATAACATACATACAAACTACATGTGAATCAACTGTTACTGTTAAAGCTTCTGGTCAACAGTAGGTTATCAAGAGTCAAATGTTCAGGAAGTCAAAAGTTATATGCATCTCCACGATGTGCTTATTTCACATTGCATGCCTGTACCAAAACAACTCATGCACGCTGTAAATCTATACACCTACTATGTATCCATAAAATTGTTTTTGAAAGCTTACACGAATTTTTGACTGTGCAGGGGGTTAGTGTCCCTAGTTCCCATGTTGTTTAAGGGTCAACTGTAATATGACTGTATTATACAACATATTAAAAAGTGGTAAGGAGAAAAATTAAGTAGGGATGAATGATGAGAAGTGGAGAGGGGGTTGCATTTCTATTTTATTTTATTTTTATTATAATTACTTTTTTTTTGAGACGGAGTTTTACTCTTGTTGCCCAGGATGGAGTGCAATGGTGCTATCTCGGCTCACTGCAACCTCCGCGCCTCCCTGGTTCAAGCGATTCTTTTGCCTCAGCCTCCCAAGTAGCTGGGATTACAGGCATGCGCCACCACACCCGGCTAATTTTTTTCTGTATTTAGTAGAGACAGGATTTCACCATGTTGGTCAGGCTGGTCTGGAACTCCTGACCTCAGGTGATCCACCCACCTCCACCTCCTAAAGTGCTGGGATTACAGGCGTGAACCACTGCGCCCAGCCTGCAATTTTTTTTTTTTTTTTTTTTTGAGACGGAGTCTTGTTCTGTTGCCCAGGCTGGAGTGCAGTGGTGTGATCTTGGCTCACTGCAAGCTCCGCCTCCCGGGTTCACGCCATTCTCCTGCCTCAGCCTTCCCAGTAGCTGGGACTACCAGGCGCCTACCACCATGCCTGGCTAATTTTTTGTATTTTCAGTAGAGACGGGGTTTCACCATGTTAGCCACGATGGTCTCGATCTCCTGAACTTGTGATCCGCCCACCTCAGCCTCCCAAAGTGCTCGGATTACAGGCATGAGCCACCGCACCCAGCCCGGCCTGCATTTCTAAGTAGAATGACCCGAGAGAACTTATTGAGATAGTGATATTGGGGCAAAACTTGGATATCTGAGGAGGTTAAATTCAGGAAAGGGAATAGCTAGTTGTATTCGTCAGAGCTGTTAAATTCAGGAAAGGGAATGGCTAGTTGTATTCGTCAGAGCTGTAGCAGGAAAAAGATGCCATACTCAAACTGGGTAATTTGAAGAGCGTGTAATAACAGAGTAGAATGGTGCTTCCTGGGGCTGGGGGGAGGAAGAAATGTGGAGGTATTATTCAAAGGGTACAATATTACAGTTACACAAGATGAGTAAGTCCTACAGAGCTACTGCAAAACACAGAGCCTATAGTTAACAATACTGTATCGTAGACTTCGAAGTTTGCTGGGAGGGTAGATTTATGTTAAGCCCTATCACTAATAATAAATAAAGAGGGCAGCAGGAAACAGAGGTGATGGATTATAGACTGTGGTAATGGGTTCACCAGTGTACATTTATCTGCAAACTCATCAAGTTGTACACATTAAATATGTACAGCTTTTTGTATGTCTTTCATCCTCTATAAAGTCGTTTTAAAAACAAACAAGGCAGCTTTAGATATAGTCACTGAATCAGTAATTAATCTACTTAAAAGTCCTTGTATTCAGACCATATTTCGCTACAGGAAAATAATGATTAAGCATTCAAATGCCTTGCTTTTATTCAGCTATACTATGTCTTCTGAAATCACCTTATCTATTATGCAGTAAATTCATGAAACAAAAAAGAAAAGCAGGGCTTACGGAAACAACAAGAGCTTCGGTAGCCCCAGGTTAGTGATAGTAGGCACCATGTCACCTCTAGGCCTGAAGTGGTCCCAGAAAGGACATCAGAAATGAGACACAAGAACAGCACAGAAAGGTCGTGTGCAGGAGCTGTGGTCTTCATTGCTTCGTTCCTTCTGCCCACAGAGAAGCAGCCTCGGGGAGCGGGCGGGGCTGGGGAATCCCTGGCCTCCCTCCTTTCCTTCTGGCTGATCTTCTGCAGAAGACCTCACAAAAGGGAGCTGAGGGGCCAGGAAGCCTGTGGATGCCCTGAAGAAGAATGAGTAGATCTGAAAGGGCAGTAGAACAGAACCAGAATCCAGTGCAAAGGCCCTGGGGCAGGAGTTCGCAGGAGAAGCGGGGAGAAGGAACCAGCCTATGATCCAGGAATGCAGTGAACAAGATTTGGGAAGTTGACAGAGAATATGAGGCCTCCTCTCCAAACAGAAACTCCAGGACGCTTGGTTGAGTCACTGACACATGCACAGTGCTGAGCATAGTACCAGACACCAGAGTCTGTGTTCCAGAAATGGAAGAATAGGTGAGTAATGAAAGTCTAAGTAAGCAAATTCTTCGCAAATGGGGAAAAGATTGAATGTATAGGGCTGCATATATTAGAAGCCCCCTGGAATCTCTGCATCCAGAAGATTGCAGTCACCTTTGAAGCACTCACCACCAGAGTCTACTCGCACACTCTCCTGTGGCAGCCGTTCACCTCGGCCCTTTTCCTAGGGATTTGCCTTCAAGTCCCAGAATGGGCCTCAGGGTCTTTGCATTCGCCTTTCTATGAGTCTGAAACACCACCCACCCCCTCACCTGTGGGCAGGCAAAGCACCTCCTGTGTTCATGTCATCTCCTGTATCAAGCCCTTCCTGATGACCAACTTGCAGCCGGGTGCCCTCTATCCATGCCTCCATGGCCGCCTATGATAATGTCCCCCATATCATTTACCATTCTGCTCATGAATTTGGCTTCATTCATCTCGCAACAACCCCAGAGTATTAAGCCACTCGAGGGTGGAAGCTGGTGCTTTTACCTCCGCACCTCTCATGCCCGACAGAGTCCATGGCAGAAGGCCGGCTCTCAGATTTTAGCTGCATTCCTGAATGAAGGAATCAATAAAAGCCACACAGCATTAAGTGGCAGACTCTAGTAATTTAATTCCTGGTCCTGGGCTCTTTGATATAAAATAACTCTTCTATTTTTAATACACCCCACATTCCTGAAGATGACACTACTGCAAAATTAAAGAAATGTGATGAACAGCTTACAACCTGCAACACACTCGGCAGCTCAAAATGACAACATTAATTTAATGAACTTAAACACTGGTGAACTTTTTAACACATCCAGAGTTATTTACACTGGGAAATGCATACTTAAGACTGCCTGCCAAAGAGACTCAAATAGAGATGACACATATATCTTTCACATGTTAATTTGCATTTGAAACTTTGAGCTTTGATACAGGTTGGCTTTTCTCTTTTGGAATGAAGAAATCAAGAGACTAATTTTTTACCCATCCATCCATCTATCCATCTATCCATCCATCCAGCCACATCTTTCCTAAGTGACAGGTAAATCACTAGTTGTTGGGAATGCAAAGAGATAAACCTTGCCATCACAGTATATTTAGGGAGATAGACAAACAGCAGTGAATATAATGTAAATTTAGTATAATAATCAAACGACAAAGTGCTGGGGGACACGGCTTGTTGAATGGCTTGCTGGGGAGAAGCAGAAAGACCATAGCATTCATGGAGATGGTGGGCATTTGTTTTCCAAGGCTACCATAACAAACAAAGAATCACAACCTGGGTGGCTTACACAATAGAAATGTACTGCCTCACAGTTTTAGAGGCTAGGAGACTGAGATCAAACTGTCAACAGGATTGGTTCTGAAGGGTGTCAGGGAGGGATACGCTTAGGGCTTTCTCCAAGCTTCTAGTAACCTCAGGAGTCCTCAGCTTCTAAATGACATCCTCCGTGTGTCTCACATCATCTGATCCTCTGTACATGTCATTCTGTGTCCAAATTTCCCCTCTGCACAAGGACACAGTCAAATTGAATTACAGCCGCCTTAATGACCTCATCCTAGTTTGATTATCTGCAAAGACCCTCTTTCCACATAAGGTCACGTTCACAGGCACCAGGGGGTTAGGACTTCAACATCTTTTGTGGGAGACACAATTCTAGCCATATCATAGTGATGTGTTGGATCTTGAAAGACGAACATGAGCTTGCCTACAAGGACGGCAGAAGAGGGTACTGATGTGGTCAAAGGAACAGAGAATGGGAGACCATGGGATGGGGGAGCTGGTGCAGAGGTGAGGGATGACACTGGTGATGAGAGGCCTTGATGCTGGACTTCATCCTATTAGTAGTGAGAGACCACTGAAGAGTTTTACGAGAGGAACTAAAACAACAGTAGTATTGTGCTTTGAAACACTCTTTGTTCATCTGCGGGAGGGCTTTTTGCTTTCTCTCTTGCTTGTTTCTCTTTGTCCTGGGAAATTGCATGGAAGCCCTGTTTAGCTTTCATGTTTCAATGAGGGAGAGGAGTTTGGGGTTCATGCTTCTCTTTCCTAATAATCCTGGCCTCAGCTCTGGTATAGGACTGGTCTATAAACTAAGTGGAAAGTCATCACAAAGACCTTCTCCCACCTCTGTTTAAACTGGGAGAGTCGGTGGTCACGCCCCTTCAGAGTAAGGGGTTCAGAGACATAGGCAAAAGGAAACATCTTCCATGCTACCTCTGGCTACCATGGAATGCCTCACACCTGTTTCCTGGAAACACATAATATCGAAGTTGGAAGGAACCATAGAAGTCCTCCAAAACATGTTCCTGGAACTTGGAAGGTGTAGGAGATCAGAATCTGCCAGCCCAAAATATGTCACTTTAGCAAAAGCATTATTTTGAATAAGAGACAACTGAGAAGAAACAGAACAAAAGCTCTCTGCCCTGCCTAAAAGCAGGACATCAGTTTACAAAGGTAGCAGTGTCCCTTCACTCCTTCTTCCAGGAAGGACAAAGGCTGATCATGAAAGAAGCTTTGGCCCTTCTCAGCCAGGAGAAGGCACTGGAGGAATCTGCTTAACAAATTCCCATGTATTTGATATTTGCCTTCCCACAGTTGCTGCACCTAGGGACTCGAAGCCTTTTTCCTTTGTTTTGTTACTTACCTAAAAACTTACTGTTCTTTGTTGAAGATGCAATATAAGCTGGATTTCTAAACCACCCCTTTGAGAACCATGCACTCCCTGGGTGTCCCCCCTGCATACATGAAATGCACACCTTAATAAACTTCTGTTTGATTTTCTCCTGTTAATCTATCTTTTGTTACAGAGGTCCGTCCTAGCTAAGAACTTAGAGGGAAAAATTGATTTTTTTTTCCTCCCCAACAAAGGTATCTCAGAAAATACCCCAGCAGTGGAGGAAAGGGAGGGTTGAAAGAACTGGTGAATGAAGGGATCCAAGTCTCCTGGTCCTGTTTTGCCTTCAGCAGCTCCATTTATCTTCTTTAAATAATACGTTTATTGAGATATAATTCATATACCAAATAAGTCACCCTTTTAATGTGTACATTTCAGTGGTTTTTAGGGTATTCAGAGTTGTGCAGCCATCACCGCTATCTAATTCCGTAGCATTTTAATCACCCAGAAAACAAACCCCAACCCTCCCCATATTCCCGCCTTCCTCAAACCTTCAAAACCACCAATCTACTTTCTATCTCTATGGACTGGCCAATTCTGACATTTCATATAAATGGAATCACATGTACATATGTGGCCTTTGGTATCTGGCTTCTTCCACGTAGCGTGTTTTCAAATTTCACCCATGTTATAGCATGTATCAGTACTTCATTCCTTGTAATAGCTGAATAACATTCCATTGTATGGCTAGACCACATTTTGTTTATCCATTTATTAACTGATAGACATTCAGGTAGTTTTCACTTCTTGGTTATCATGAATAATGCTGTCTTGAAAAATTTTGTACATGTTTTTGTTTGAGAACCTGTTTTCAGTTCCTTTGGGCATAGATACCTGGAGCGGAATTGCTGGGCCACATGTCAACTCCACATTTCACTTTTTTTGGAATCACCCAACTGTTTTCCAAAGTGGCTGTTCCATTTTATATTCCCACCGGCAATGTATAAGGGTTCCGATTTCTCCATATCCTCTCTAACACTTGTTATTTCTTTTTGATAACCGCCACCCTAGTGAGTGTGAAGTGGTATACCATTGTGGTTTTGATTTGCATTTCCCCAATAACTAATGATGCTGAGCATTTTTTCATGTGCTTTTTGACAACCTGTGTATCTTCTTTGGAGAAATATCTATTCAAATCCATCACTCAATTTTTTAATTGGCTTATTTGTCTTTTCATTGTTAAGTTATAAGAGTTATTCATCTATTCTGTACATAAGTCCCTTATCAGATAAATGACTGCAAATATTTTCTCCTATTTTGTGTCTTTTAATTTTCTTGAAGGAACCCTCTGAAACACAAAAGATTTTAATTTGATGAAGCTCAATTTATCTATTTTTTTCTTTTGTTGGTTGTGCTTCTAGTGTCATATCTCAGAAACCGTTGCCTAATCTAAAGTCACAAAGATTTACTCTTATGTTTCCTTCTAAGAATCTCACAGCTTTAGCTCTGATCTTTTGGTTGATTTACTTTATTTTCATTTTTACTCTTTTTAGAGGATAGCAATCCATAAAAAATGTGTTTTAACTCCCCCGATCCCAAGCCACCATATTTTAGATTCTAGAAAGGAGATAAATAACTTGCCATGGTCACAAAAGGAGTTTCAGGCATCGATGGACTCAGAGCAAGTTCTCTGCCTCAATGTCAACAAATGACTCTGGCTTCCCACAAAAGATGTACAGGTCAAACCTCCCTGACATGCACGAAGACCTGGATGCTGTGTAGGTCAGAAGGGATCCTCCCCTCTCTTCACAGAAGACTGTGGCACCCCCACGTAAACAGTCAGATTCAGATGTGCAGCAGCCTGAAATGACCCTGCGTCATTTGCTTCTTATTTGTCCCATAACTGTTTCTGATGAATCTCAGGCCCTACATTCCACCCTCGAAACCTACCCCAGGTATACAGGGAATAGAATGTCTTCTTCAAAGCCTCCCTTCCCCACATGGGCTTTTGTCTCATTCACTCAGCTGAACTCACTGAGCATTTACCAGGTACTCTGGCTTTGGCTTTGGGGATGCAAAATTGAATAAGACGACACACCCCTGCCCTCCCAGAGCTGTCAGTTTTGTGGAAGTAACACACGCTAAGTCCTGGCATTTTAACACTTTCCCAACATTTAGTCATAACAAGCGTTAACTGCTAATATTAATTACTACACACCTGGCTCTATTTTTGTGCTTTAGGTGCATTACTTAAGTCCATAACAGCGTTATGAGGTAGTGATATCACTGTTCCATTTTCCAGGACATATCACACACCAACCGTGTGCAAAGCACTCTACCTAAAGATCAGCGCTAACAGAGGAATAAGCAGAGGCCTCCAGGAGCAAAGAGTGAAAAGTCTCCCAAGGATTCAAGTACGGGGGAAGTGGGTGGAGCTTTCACCGTAGAATCTTTCCTGGAGAAAAAGCAAAGAGTGGGACAACAATGAAGGCATTAAAAATAACTGTCAAGTTGAAGAAAAAGTGAGTAGTGATGTGGCTGGATTCTAGGGAGATGGGGCTGGGTAAAGGCAGAGTGTACAAGCCTCTGCCAGAACTCACATTCACACACCACAGCCACAAGAGCCGGCAAATTACATGGGGAAAAACTCTGCACAAGCTTGCCTTGTGCTGACATGTACTATTATTATACACTCTGTGCCTTTGAGACAACCTGCCACACACACACACAAAGCCAGCAACTAAAAGGAAACTGGCATTAATACAATTCAGTGTGAGGGTATGATCTGGGGGTGTGGAGGTGGAGATGACGTTGTTTTATTTCTTACAATAATACATGTATTTCAGGTAATCGAATTTGGTTCTTAGCGCTAATGTCATTTTCTGCTAATTTAATGTCCCAGGAATCCCTCCGAGTAAGAAGATTGCTCGTGGAATGCAAATAAAGCCCATTCTGGGAAAAATAACCATTTCCCCAACCCAGGTGTGCTCAAAGGCTGAACAAAGGCCAATCCCACAGAGTAGAGGGAGTTAAATAGATCCTAGGAGGTGGTCTGGATATGAAGGCTGCTTGCTGGGCGAAGGGGCAGTGGTTATTTGAGATTCTTCATTGTGAAAGCAAACTAATCAGGCTCTCTAGCATCAGGCATTTGGAAAGCCAGCAGGGCACTCAGGGGCCTCAGATGGCTCAGATGGGAGGAGAGGAGGGCAGGGAAATGAGGAAGGGGGAATAGTGTCCATCTGGCTAGCTCTGCTTCCAAAGGAGCACGAAGCATCCCTCAGCCTCCTGGTTGGGCAGTCGTAAGAGACCATGCCAGGGCCGGGCGCGGTGGCTCACGCCTGTAATCCCAGCACTTTCGGAGGCCGAGGCAGGTGGATCACGAGGTCAGGAGATGGAGACCACGGTGAAACCCCGTCTCTACTAAAAATAAAAAATTAGCCAGGTGCAGTGGCAGGAGCCTGTAGTCCCAGCTACTTGGGAGGCTGAGGCCAGAGAGTGGTGTGAACCTAGGAGGCGGAGCTTGCAGTAAGCCAAGATCACGCCACTGCGCTCCAGCCTGGGTGACAGAGCGAGACTCCGTCTCAAAAAAAAAAAAAAAAAGAGAGACCATGCTTCCCAGTTTCCATGGACTGGAAACTGTATGTCCCCATGTATGTCCCTATCCCCCCCGCATTCTTAACAGTGTTCCAGTTTGGACAAGACATTATACAGTCATCCTAGATACAGTGGGCAGAGTATGACAGGAAGAGTGAAGAAAGCAAAGACAAAATTTGCAAGCCGTGTAACCTCAGCGTACGTACTTACTCTCTCAGGCCTTAGTTTCCTTATTGGAAAAATGGAATAACAGTACATGCCTCGCAAGTTTGTCAAGATTAAAAGAGATACCATGTGTCCTTTACCGTGCCAGCCCTGGGCTCACTGGGCACGTGTAGAAACTTGATGGGCGCTGAGTTATCACTGGCTGTTGGTGCACACCGGCAGGACCAGCCTGGGATGCCTGGCTTTGGGAATAGCTCTTTTCCATCCTAATTTCTTGATGAACTCTCGAGCCTCCCTGTCTCCTGTTCCTGCCCCTGGGCATCTGACATCCTCAGTTCACAGCTAACTGCAGAATCATAGCATGAAAAAAGGCATACTTCTCCAAGGGCTGAATAGGATTTCATAAACCAAAAAACCTACAGCTTTCAGCTGCGGTACTGTCCTGGTCTAATTTACCCTGCAGCCACGCAAGACAATGAAGTTGGGAATTTCTATTTGAGGGAGTATTTTTCCCCTTCTCTCCCTCTCCTGACAGTGGTCTTCAATAACAGCCTGTGAAGCTCTGGGTGCAGGGAGGCTAAGGGAGGGAGTCAGAGAAGTGAACTCACTGAAACGCATCTGCAGAAGCAGATCACTAAATGTCCCACAGACAGTGGTGCAGCTGACAGTGCCTGAGCTCAGTGGGGCAGCCTGGGGAGAGGAGAAGAGCAGGAAAAAATTAAGCTCTTCCTTGGGCCTGATGAAGATTAATATCTCCTCCCTGATGAGATGAGGCAGTTTAATCGCTGCTATTAATACAGAATCACTGAGAGCCAAAGATGAGGGCATGGAAGGAGGCGGGGGATGAGATGAGAGCACCTCAAGGTATGAGTACAGAAGCGGAGAAGGACCCCCTGAATGTAGAAAGACACAGCTGATTTTCTGCAGGGCTCAAAAGCCAATAGAGAAATTTGAGAGCTGAGGCACTGTGTGGTATGATACAGTGTTTCAGACTTGCTGTGTTGCTTTTCCTACTGGGATCATCTGACTGATTGGGTTAAACATGCCGATCCCTAACACCACATCTGGCATACGATCTCAGCACACAGACCTTGACCATCGCTTCCTGGAGAGCCCAACAATGGCAGGACTCAAGCGTGGTCTTCTGACTCCTCTCCTTGGCCTATTCCTAGTCATGCTTCAAGATTCAGCCCAGGAGGCATCTTCTTCCATGAAAGCTTTCTTGGATGTCCCCAGATACTTAGGTGCCCCTTTTTCTGGATTCCTGAACACCGGCATACATACTTCTATTATAGCAAGTATGCTAAATGGCAATAGTGAGTCCTTCCCTGCAAAAGAAGATTGCTCTCAGCCTTAAATTCTTGCTTCCCACCTTTCTATAATTTCCCTTTTTACTCATTAATCAGTGTTTCCATCATCTCATCTCCTGGTTTCCTCCGAGGACCTATTATCTTCAGAAAAGGTCATTATCACCTAAGACTAACAAAAGAACAATTTTCATCAGGACAGAAACTATGTCTTAATCTTAGTGTCTTTCTCGGACTCTAGTCCAGTATCAGACGTACACTTGGTACTTAATAAATATGTGCTCGGTATGCAATGATCTAAGAGAAAAAGAAGGGGTTAGGGCATAAATGGAGGCACCAAAAAATCAGCTGGCCACCTAGGGGAAACCTCCACATCCAAAAAGAAAGGTGCAAACCAAACCACTATGGAGACCTTGAAGTCCTGCAACCTGCTCAAAAGCCACAAGATCATTCTCAAAGGTGCGCCATTAAATAAAAGCAAAAACAGTTCATGCCCTCCCCCGCCACCGCCATCCTCACTCACTCAAGCTCTGTGTGAATTTTCAACTCAAATATGCTCAGGATTCCCGACTCTCCAAATCCCACACCATCTGACATTTGGGCCTGAGAGTTTGAGAAATGTGAAAGAGGCATGGAAGAATCCCAGAAGAGTAGGCCTTGTGCAGAGCAATGTTTACCTTCGATTGTCACAGAATGATCTGGAACCACTTCATTAAATAGAAGGAAAATTGCAAATGTGAAGGCTACTAGTTTGGGATTCATAAAAGAAGGCAAGCCTTTGTCAAAATATGTCTGCTGTGTGGATGATAAGCAGCACTCTGAGCACGAAGGCCACACGTGTGGAATAAACGCTGCAACATTATAAGCACTGAGGCTTCTGGACCCCAGCATTTAATTAGATTACAGTCTTGACAATAGCTCACCTGATACATCATGCAATAACAAGCTCCCTTGGGTAGGTTAAAAATGCAAATTAAGTGTCAGAAATAGGAACACCACCTCAACTACTGAATGCACTCCCACTAAGTGCAAAGCACAGGAGATGGTTTAAAGAGGCCCAAAAGCCAGTTTTAACCTTCAAGGCACAGGTTGATAGCAATATAAATATCTATAGAAAGACCAACAACTGAAGCATCAAATATTAGTCACCTGGATTAGTTGCAAACATTTCTGGTGGAGGGAGCTGAGACTCTCCTACACACCCAAGTGTGCTGCAGCCAAGTGCAGAAATGCGGAGCCAACAACTGCACCCAACACCGCTGGGCTTGGAGTTGCGAGAAGAGCAGGCTTCTGGCAGCACCAACACAGCCTGCAAATACCCATGACCATAATTTCTCACGATGCCACAGGCAGGATGAGGTGAGGACCCCGTGAAAGCGACTGCACAGAAACAGAGACACTGAGAAAGCACAGGCCAAGCGCCTGGAATGGCAGCGGGAAGAAAGAGCTCTGTCCTGCAATCACCTTGCAAGAAATCCAACCTTTCCAAAGCCCAGAGCCAGGAGGGGTGTGCAAGAGAACGTGAGTGGGTTCCATGCCCACCCTCCAGATGGATGGAGCCTCTGTTCGGGCAAAGAACTGCTCCTTGGCTGAGGGTCCCAGCAGAACCAGCTTCAGATACCCCACTTTTAACCACTCACAAATGAGAACGTACCAGTTGTCACCAACCGGCTGTGTTTCTGCAGTTCATTTAACCATTTGGGGCCTCAGTTTGCTCATATGTAAGATGGGGCTAACAAGGGTTCCTCTTTACAGGCTGAGACAATACAGCCTGGTAAGCAAAATCATGGTCCCTGGAGACAAGACGGTGAGCCCTGGAGTCCCCCCAACTCTACTTCCCAGGGGAGTGACTTTGGGAAAGTCATTGAACCTCTGTATACTTCAGTTTCCTCGCCTGTAAGCAGGGATAATAGGACCAGCCTCATAGGGTGGTTGTGAGGATGGAATGAGTTAATCCAAGTAAATCACAGAGAACAGCACCTAGCATATAGCAAGTGCTCCACAAGCATCAGTGACTACTCTTCATGTGATGATGTAGCTGTTCTTTTCTATCCTGTTCTCATAAAGGAGGCGATCACTCACTCATCAACCTTCGTGCACCGAGCACAATGTGTGCAAGGAACTGTCATGTAGTATGAGTTCCCTTACTTGGCATACCAGCCCCTAAAGCAAGGACTAGGAGCCCACTTGGTCTGAGGTTCAGAAAGGTCAGGGGACCCCTCCAAGGCCATGTAGCCAGCAAGTCGCAGCATCAGATTCAGGGCCCAGGTCTTCTGGTGCAAGAACCCCTGCACTTTCTACCCTACCACATGGCGAGAGCACTGCCTAATAAAACCACGCAGATGCTTCAGCTTTACTTCAACCAGATTTTTCTTTATAATAAAAACAAAAGTACAATGTCTTTTTTCCACTGGAAATTTTAAAAAGGCATCCCTATCTTTCTTTCCAAATAATGTCTTTTTTTAATTTTCCTAGTAAAGATGGTTGACACTGGCTTCTAGCTCACCTCACTATTGGATGTCACTGGTTCAAGAGTTCCAACACCCAGTGATAAAGTCTGTATCTTTGTCCCCTCCAAATCTCATGTTGAAATCTAATCTCCAATGTTAGCAGTGGAGCCTGGTGGGAGGGTCTTGGATCATGGGGGCAGATTTCTCATGAATGGTTTAGCACCATTCTCTTGGTGCGATCCTTGTGAGATATGGTTGTTTAAAAAGCGTATGGCACCTCCCCGTATTCTCTCTCCTGCTTCTCCTCTGGTCATGTGACACACCTGCTCCCACTTTGCCTTTCGCCCTGATTGTAAGCACCCTGAGGCCTCCCCAGAAGCCAAGCAGATGCCGGTGCCATGCCTGTATAGCCTACACAACCGTGAGTCAAATAAGCCTCTTTTCTTTATAAATTACCCAGCCTTAGGTATTTCCTTGTAGCAACGCAAGAATGGCTTAATATACCCAGGTAGGAGCGTGTTGGAAGTTCACTGTCAGATCTTTGATCAGCTATCAATATGTCCTGAACCAGCCATGGATCACTCGTCCCACACAGCTCTTCCCACCGACCTCTCTGCCAGTATCCATTTGCTCAGGTCAAAACCTGGAGTCATCACTGACTCTTTCTTTCTCTCTCCTTCACAACCCAAACATCACCAAGGCCTAAAACCTCTACCTCCAAAACCTATCCCCAGGCAGCCACTTCTGCCTCATCTCCATTGCCACTACCACCATCTAAGTTCAGGTCACCTCACTGCTTCTCTGTAAAAGTATGTTGGCTACCCAGCCGGTGATCTGGCCTAAATTCCTGTCCACCATAGATCATTCTCTATATAGAAGCCAGGCTTATTATTGCTCTTCGATCTGACCTCCACCACAACTCTTTGAGGTAGTCAGGGCAGATATCACCACCCCCATTTTACAGATGATGAAAGGGAGTCCTCGACTTGTCACATGGCTATTTAGTGATGAAGTTCATTATTCTACAATCCAGTAATTTGACTTGCACAAGACATTCACCTTCCCTGGGTTTTAATTTTCTCTAAGAGACAGATAACGTTAGCCCAGCTTGACTCACAAGGCTGTTGTGGAGATTCAATGAGAAAGTGAGCTCTTTCACATACCAGCTGAGTGACCCTGAGCAATCCACTCAGCCACTCTCAGTTCTCATTTTGTGCTTTTTCCATCATGCCCCGCTGGCTGTGAATCCAGTCCAAGTGCGTGCAAATTATGCCTTTGCTTTATATTTACTGAGCAACAACTATGTGCCGCAACAGATTTTTTTAATACTCTATTTTATTTGCAATCACAGATCTGAAGTTTATCAATACATGATCTCCTCAAAAACGAAAGGAATAAAACAAGTATCTGCAATTTGCTGAGAACTTAATATGTGTCAGTTGCCTGCAAAACTCATCATTCTTTAGACTTTCAAATACATCTGTGAGGACGGTATTGTTGTTTCCACTTACACATGAGAAGGCAAGAGACAAGCCCACGGTCACCCAGCTGGTAAGTGGAACAGACAGGTTTCAAACCCTGAGTGTTCTGACTGCAAAGCCCCTGTCCGCTCCAGTCCTACTATCCCCACTCCCAGGAGGTGGATGCTCCTCTGTGATGGGAATGGAATGGGGATGCCTGGCGTACCTGGGAGCTGCTAGTCTTCCTCTTGCCCAGGCTATGTGGCTCCTCTGTGTCTTCCTAAATGACAACGTGCTTTCCCATGGGTCCTCAGAGCATGCCTGCTGCCGTGATGCCCTCTCCTGACCTCTGGCCCTACAGGGCCCTATTAGGTTTTATGTACTGTGTTCTCATTGCACCGGGGACACACTTGGACTTCTGGATGGCTCTGCCACGCTCACGCCCTGGAAAACACCTCATTGTCCCTGTTTCCTACTGACTGGTACAGTGCTCAGCACAGAGGAGGAACTACCTACAGCCAAATGATTGTCATAGAAAGGAGGGAGGAGAAGGAGGAAAGACAGGCAGCAAGATGCACTGTATATATGGTGGGTGAGAACGTGGGCTCCAGGCCACACAAGTGGCTCTGCCACTCACAGGTTGGGACCTAGGGCAAGTTTCTCAACATCCTGCACCTGCCTTTCCCTCTAAAAGGAGGGTGATGCTAGTGCCTCCCTGGGTGATGTGTCATGAACATAAATGCAAGTGCTTTAGAGCAGCACACACGGCAAAGCCCCACCAAGTGTTAATTTCTATTATCCCACACTAAGGACCGAGGGAAGGAATTGCCTCAAAGCCTGAAGGAGCCGAGGGATTTCACCCAGGGAACAGAACAAGCGAAGAAGCCAAGAAAATATGCAATCCAAGGGTCTCTTTCTGATGACTACCTGTCACTGAAGCATCTGGAATGCAATACAGGGACTGTTTGGAGCAAAGGTGTGGACCAGAGGGAAAACAGCCTCCTTTCTATTTGTCAGAGAGCCATCAGAGCAGCAAGAGCTATTAGGAAGAAGACTGGTGAGAGCAAAATGAAAAAATTTTGTAAATACTCACTCTTGGTGATCTTTGCTTATCCGCCCCTTCATGCCACTCACCTCTGAGTGTTTATCCAAAACATGAAATTAAGCCGTGGGTGAGGTGCTCGTCTCTGTCAGACCTGTCTCCTTCAGTGCTGGCTCAGAACCAGTGCGTGTGTGTGCCCTGACAATCTGAGCACCCAGAAGGCTTATGTTCATGTCTGCACTGGGGATTTGAAGAGTCCAAGAACCAATCTGCCCCCAAACTGCGCTCAAGTGAGCTAAGTGCAGCATTTTGAGAAGCGTTAACTCACAGATACAGCTTCTAGGAAAGGAAAGGCGAGGGCCCGGTTCTCGCTACTGCTTGGAGCAGGCTGACCCTAATCTGCCCTGAAAGGCTGGATCCAATCATCCATCAGCCACAGAAGCCAAGGCAACTGGCACAGGATCCCAGGAGGCAAAGAAAATGCATGGCTTGAAAAGTGATAAAAGACACAACCGAGCCCACTGAGCCTGGGTGGAAGTTCCGACCTAGTACATTTCCTAGGATCTGTGAGGCATTATTCACACATAGGGAGAGGACCAACTCTACCTGATCCCTGTGGAGAACTAACCAGGAGGGAGCGACCTTACATAGAAAAAAAAGAGATCTAGAATCATACCCATTTAAGAAATGAAAGAAACCTTAGAGAGATCACACAAGGCATGCCTGCCTGGGTTCAATCTCAGCTTTACCTATTTTCAAACTTCTCTGTGCCTCTGTTCCCCCATCTGCACAATAAGAATATCAGCACGAAAATTAGTCGGGTATGGTGGCATGCGCCTGTAGTCCCAGCTACTCGGGAGGCTGAGGTAGGAGAATGGCGTGAACCCGGGAGGCAGAGCTTGCAGTGAGCAGAGATCACACCACTGCACTGCAGCCTGGGCGACAGAGCAAGACTCCGTCTCAAAACAAAATAAGAATATTAGCACCTACTTCATAGGACAGTTCTGAGGAAGAAACTAGTTACTACAAGTCAAGGACTTGGTGCCTGATGTACAATAAATGCTCCATAAATAGTAACTAATATTATTTTTATTTCTGGCACTTCAAGATTCATTGAGCATCTACTCTATTTCAGGTATTTTGCCAAAGACTAAGGATTCGGAGATGACTACGGAAAGGTGAGTCCTCACTATCTGGAGTGTGTGAAATCCAAACAAATAATAATAACAATGACTTGGCCAGCGGAATGAATGAATAACCTTGGTGATCCACCCAATGGCACTGGCACTTTGTGCTGGGCACTTTTGTAGGCAATGTTATTAGAGTCCACAGGAAAGTTCTAAAAAGGAAGTATGCTATATAAATGAAGTGCAATTCAACATAATAAATGATTAACAGAAGTACAAACAATATATTTGCCAGGCACTTGGTGTGAAAACTAAGATTTAAGTCAGAGGAGATAAAATAGGGAGTGAGGCTGTTGTGCAAGACAAACAGTAGGCACTCCATCAGCGATGTTGTTACCATGCTGGTTATTATTAAATCCAAGTCCTGGAGCCCAGGAGAGGAGGAGGGGGCGCTGAGACCAGGAACCCAGAGGCTGCACTTAATCCAGGTCAAACTTCTCAAGTGGGCCAGAAGAGAGGCACTTGTTCAAAATACAGACACCTGGGCACCTCCCCTGAGGAACCCCATTTAGTAGATCTAGGGCAGGATTCTGGGCTGTCTTGTTCATTAAGTGCCCCGGGGTGGACTGGAAGTCTATATATTAAACAAATGCCCCAGGTGATTCTTATCATCTAGCAAATGCTGGAACCAGAGATCTAGGTGACCTCCTTATAGGCAAGAAGAGGAAATACTCTCTCAGGTTCCTCTGAACTTTGATTAGCAGCTAAAGGCAAGTCCAGATTGAAAGGACTAAGCTTCCCGAGGAGAGGAGAGCAAGGAATGAGAAGCCAGAGGCCAAGGTGCCAAGATCCACTTTGCAGGCCTGTGTGACAGGTCCCTGCCTACCCTTCCTGACCTCATCCACCATGTTGCTTCTCCTCCTGACCTCATCCACCATGTTGCTTCTCCTCTCTTCTCTTTCTCTCCAGCCACCCAGACTCCTCCTTGGCATCCTACAAAAGCACCAAGCACTCTCCATCTCTTGCTCTTCTCCCTGCCTGAAACTCTTTTCCTTCCCCTCACCACCTGGCTCTGCTTAATGTCACCAGTAAGAGAGGCCTGCCCAGATCACCCTATTAACACAGCATTTCCCTTTCCCCACTCCTCACCAAGCCCATTGCCCTGGCACTATCATCTCACTTTGCTTTATTTTTCTTTGTTGCACTTATCAACACTCAGCAGAGCATGATGTTGTTCGATCATCATCTCTCTCCATCCACTAGGAAAACTAAGCTCCATGAGAAGAGGGGACTTGCCCATGTGGCTCAGGGCTCTATGCCCAGTGCCCTAGACAGTGCCTGACTGTGTGTGCGGAATGAATGAATAACCTTGGTGATCCACCCAATGGCACTGGCGCTCAGTGACCTCATCTGAAATGGTAAACCCTTCTTCCCTAATTAGGTTATGGGGGGATTATTTCACTGTATCAAGAAAGCTCATGTCCAAGAGGGCCAAGCAAATGAATCATAATTGTTATCAACAGGTGCAATGGAGAGGGTTCCCAGCTGGGACACCACCTCAAGCATCCATCACTGGCTGTGTGCCAGAAATGGGGCACTGTGTGCCCTCTGCTGGAGCAAAAAAAAAAAAAAAAAAAAAAAAAAAAGCCAACTATCCATTATCTAAGGCTCCACCCCAGAAAGAAGGAATCTTGGCATGGCCAGGGTTCTTCCTATCAATGCAGGTTTGTTTTTTTTTTTTTTTTAGACAGAGTCTCAGTCTGTCGCCAGGCTGAGGTGCAGTGGCATGATCTCGGCTCACTGCAATCTCCACCTCCCGGGTTCAAGCGATTCCCCTGCCTCAGCCTCCCGAGTAGCTGGGATTACAGGTGCCCGCCATCACGCCTGCCTAATTTTTTGTATTTTAGTAGAGACGGGGTTTCACCATGTTGGCCAGGATGGTCTCAATCTCCAGACCTCGTGATGCACCCATCTCCACTTCCACCTCCCATCCCGTAGCTTTAAATATTCAACTCTGTTGACTCCTTGAGCGACCTGTTGCTTCCAGAAGTACAGTCAACATATCCAAAGCAGCTGCTGAGACAAAATGACTCTGCAAACCTAATTCATGCTAGGCACCATGGACTCGTTTTCATCTTGCAAAAACCCTCAACAGCACCCCCAATTTACGCAGAGTCAATTTGCGGTAAGAGAGGTTAAGTGACTCAATGTGGACACACAGCATTTAAAAGGAGGACTGGGACTTAGACAGCCCCATCCAACATATCTGTTAGGAAAGTGATTAAACTCTGCATCAGAGGATGGCCCTTTCCTCTTTGTTCTTTAAAGTTCTCACTACAGGTCATTTTGATGAAATAATTTAATTTTCTCCAAACATGGCCAATGCATTCACAAGGAAGTGCCAGTGCATTTATGACCACAGCTGCAGTATGTTAGGAAGTCTCTCCCTGCCCCTTTCTAATGCCTGAAGAAGGCTGCTGAGGCTGTGAGCTTCGTTATATCACAGTTCTCTAGGTTTCAGTTCCTCAGTTGTAAAACAAGGGTCTCTCTGGACCAGGTGGGTGACGTTTTTGCATCCCTCCCAGGAGACTTTCCAGGATTCTAGAAAAATATGAGAATGAAAGGAAAAACAAAGATTTGTTAAATGACCACTGTCGGATGTAACAGGTCATTTAGTCTTTATAACAGCGGTGTAAGCTACAGGTTGTGCTCTCCTCTTTTTTTTGAGATGGAGTTTCGCTCTTGTTGCCCAGGCTGGAGTGCAATGGCACAATCTCGGCTCACCGCAACCTCCGCCTCCTGGGTTCAAGCGATTCTCCTGTCTCACCCTCCAGAGTAGCTGGGATTACAGGCATGTGCCACCACGCCTGGATAATTTTGTATTTTCAGTAGAGATGGGGTTTCTCCATGTTGGTCAGGCTGGTCTCGAACTCCCGACCTCAGGTACCCGCCCTCCTCAGCCTCCCAAAGTGCTAGGATTACAGCTGTGAGCCACAGCGCCCAGCCCTGTGCTCTCCTTTTTATGGAGAAGAAACTGACCTGCAATGATGTTGAGTAACTTGTCTATTTCACTCTGTGATTTAAATGATGTCTACTAAAATTCAAACTCCCATCCACTTGTCCTTGGGGGCTATGTTCCCCCAACCATCAACATTTGCCCTATAAAAAGTCCTTCTGTAATTTTCAAAAGTTTTATCTGTTTAGGCTGTAAGCCAGCCTAGATGACTCCTGATGTCCGTTCCTTCTCTTGATTATATGAGTCTATGACAGAAACAAAATGCAAACTGCATTAAAGGATTAACTGAATTTTTTCGTTATACTGGCTTATAAGAATCCTGCTAGCCACAGAAGTTCGCATGTCTTCTCTGTTGTCCAAGATACCCCATTTTCACTTGTCTCAGGGTTTGTCTCGTCCTTGTCTAAAGCTTGAGCATATCGACTTTGAAATGTCATCTACCAGTTGTTTCTATATCTGCAAGTTCTTCAGTGACTGCAGAATAAAGGACCTTTTTAGACAAGGACAGGCTCCCTTGCTATCTTGGTGGCCTTGCTCAAACGGTACAACGTCCCTGAGCCTTAGTTTCCTCATCTATAAAATGGGACAAGGATGAAGTTGTTTGGGGGAATAAATGAGATAATATGTGTAAAATTCCTAGCCCAGCACCAGGCCAAAAGGTGGAAACTCAAAGTCTAAATGAGCCAGACAGAGTCAACCACTGCCATACGCAGATACCAGAAGCTCTTCCCTCTCAATTCTGTTCTATGTAAACGACAGTGCAGGGATGACACAAGGATCAACAAGGAAGGATGGAGATCGTGACAAAATGGATCATCCGAGCACTGTGCACATGGACAGCCAGTACTCAGCTCCAGCCAGTAGCTACTATGATGAAATGAGGGTCTGGTTTTGCAGATCTTTTCACTTTTTTTAGGGAAAGCCAAAAATCATGACTTCTTATGTGCAATCTCCCAATATTTAACCATTAGCAACAAATTCAAAAATGGTAAAAGCAGTAGGCGGGCCAAACCCAACACAAGTGCAAGCCAGATGCAGCCAATCTTGGTTTAACATGCGATAAATAGAAACGATTGCTACAGTTTCCATTATTGTTATAGTTTAAATAGTACATTTCCTTCTTGTGTTTCTATATCTTCCACAATACAATAATAAAAGGTTTTTTTTTTTTCCATTTCCAGGAATAAGGATTTTATGAAAATGCATGTTTGTTGAATAACACAAAGGAGAATATTATCTAATGTGGCTTGGGGTCAATATCAAGCAGTAATATTGTTTTAGTATTAATTAGAGCCGTGTCATTGCAAGAGCTGGTAAGAATACTGGTCTTGTTTCCAACTGATGAAAACACTCATACAGATTAGGGTTTTTATGAGTAAATTTCAGATCTTGAAATCAGTGCTGTGATCCACTCTCATAGGGTGAATATCTGTCCAAATGGTATATCAGAAAGGAAAAAAGCCAATGTCATTACATAGAAGTGTTAAACAATGATCTCTAAAGAAAAGTTTCATTCTTAAAAAGCATTTGAACTTCAAAGCCCAACAATGACATAGATTCACATATCCCAAAGGTTAAGAAAATTCCTCTCATCTAAAAACAATGCAAAACCTACAAAATCACTTCAAATTCTGCTACCATCAAGATTTGCATAGTTTTTTGAAAACTAAAATAACATATTCAGAAAAATGAACAAGTCCTAAGTGAAATACTTAGTGAATTATCATAAAGTGAGCCCAGCTATATAGTCATCACACAGGTTAAAATTAAAATTAAGGCTGGGCGTGGTGGCTCACACCTGTAATCCTGGCACTTTGGGAGGCCGAGGAGGGCAGATCACCTGAGGTCAGGAGTTCGAGACCAGCCTGGCCAACATGGCGAAACCCCATCTCTACTAAAAATACAAAAATTAGCTGGGTGTGGTGGCACACGCCTGTAATCCCAGCTACTTGGGAGGCTGAGGCAGGAGAATCGCTTGAACCTGGGGATGGAGCAGAGGTTTCAGTGAGCAAAGATTGTGCCACTGCGCTCCAGCCTGGGAGACAGATTGAGACTCCATCTCAAAAAAAAAAAAACAAAAACAAACAAACAAAAATTAAAATTAAATTATTAGCAGCATCCCAAAGTCTTCCTTGGGGCCTGCCCCAGTCTCTGTTCTACCCTCCCTACCAGAGTTAACCACCATCTGAATTGGTAAGAGCCTACATTAATTTTTGCCTGTTTTTGAACTTGGTATAATTGGAATCCTATAGTATGTATTATTTTGTGTATGTCTTCTTTTGCTCAATACTGAGAGTAATTTCATTTTCATCACTCTATAGTACTTCACTATATAAACGTGCCACTATTCTTTTTTTTTTTTTAAGACAGAGTCTTGCTCTGTTGCCCAGTCTGGAGTGCAGTGGCATGATCTTGGCTCACTGGAACATTCGCCTCCAGGGTTCAAGCGATCCTCCTACCTCAGCCTCCCTAGTAGGTGGGGCTACAAGCATGCTAATTACTACCTAATTACTACCAAGCCCAGCTATTTTGTATTTTTAGTAGAGATGGGGGTTCGCCACATTGGCCAGGCTGGTCTTGAGCTCCTGGCCTCAAGTAATCTGCCTGCCTTGGCCTCCCAAAGTGCTGGGATTACAGGCGTGAGCCACCACACCCAGCCCCACTATTCTCATTTTAGTGTTCATGAACATTTCATAGTTTCCTGTCTGGTGCTATTATAAATAACGCTGATGTGAGCACTCTAGTACTAGTCTTTTGTTTCCACCTACATGCATTTCTCTTGGGTGTATTGCTAGGGGTAGAGCTAAGGGATCATGGGGTATGCTTGGCTTTGCTTGGTAATACTTTGGGTAAGTTTTCCAAAGTAGTTATATAAATGGCTATCTTTTACTTAAAATTAAGAGACCTATTCAAACATCAAAAGGACCCTCTGAATAAAATCCTCCCTCCTTTTGTTAAATTGGTATCCAAAATCAAAAAATAAAATAAAATTGACTTAAAACCAGGAAACCTGCAACAAAGAGCAGACATTCTGAACTTATCTTTTCAGAAAACCTTAACGCATCATCAGTTACTGATTAAACACCTATCATAGATGAAGTATTATGGTCTTAAATCATTCAGACAATTCAGACCAATACATCTAAATACAGTGCCTTTCTCATGAGCTGTAAATGAAATGTTGGATACATATATGTCAAATTCAAATGCAAGAACCCAAAACTCCAAGGGAAGGATGAGATGTCCATATGAAAAGTGCATGGCACACCATCTCTGCTCTGTCCATAAAGGACAAGAAGAGGATGGAGAGAATGTGGGAGCATGGGACTGTGGGAAAGTGGTATGGAAGGCGGAAAAATGACCCCCCAAAAGATGTCCACATCCTAATCCCCATGGCCAATGAATATGTCATCTTCCATGGCCAACAGGGCTTCGCCAGTACCATTAAATTAAGGATTTTCAGACAGGGTTGTTATCTTGGATTTTCTGGGTAGGCTCAATATAATTACAAGGGTCTGGCCAGGTGGGGCAGCTCACGCCTGTAATCCCAGTACTTTGGGAGGCCAAGGCGGGTGGATCACGAGGTCAGGAGATTGAGACCATCCTGGCCAACATGATGAAAACCTGTCTTTACAAAAAATACAAAAATTACCTGGGCGTGGTGGCACGTGCCTGTAATCCCAGCTACTCAGGAGGCTGAGGCAGGAGAATCACTTGAACCAGGGAGTCGGAGGTTGCAGTGAACTGAGATCACACCACTGCACTCTAGCCTGGTGATAGAGCAAGACTCCATCACAAAAAAATAGTAATAATAATAATAATAGTCCTAATAAGAGGGGGGTAGGAGAGTCACAGTCAGAGAAGGAGATATAACAACAGAAGTAGAGGTTAGCATCAGAGAGAAAGATTTGAAGATGCCACACTGCTGGCCTTGGGGATGGAGGAAGGCGTCACAAGCCAAGGAAAGCGGGCAGCCTCAAGAAGCTTAAAAAGACCAGGAGATGGATTCTTTACTGGAGCCTACAGAAGGAACCAGCCTTGCCAACACCTTGACTTTAGCCCAGTGAGAATGATTTTGAGCTTCTGACCTCTGGAACTGTAAGATAATAAATGTATGGTTTTTTTTTAAGCCACTAAGTTTGTGGTGGTTTGTTACAGCAGCCACAGGAAACTCATACAAGTTGCATGTTGGGACTCACGGCAACCACATTTCTTGATTCCTGGTCCAGGCCTCTTGCCATGACCTCTTAAAGGAGATGCAGCCAATGGATGCAGCAGGATTATTTGTTCCACCCTAGCAGGATAGCCAATATTATTTTAAGACCAAAGGCTACGTATAAGAAAAGTAGAGGTCAGGTCAGGTGCAGTGGCTCATACCTGTAATCCCAGTACTTTGGGAGGCCAAGGTGGGCGGGTCACCTGAGGTCAGGAGTTCAAGACCAGCCTGGCCAACATGGTGAAACCCTATCTTTACTAAAAAAACAAAAAAAATAACTGGGCATGGGGGTGGGCACCTGTAATCCCAGCTACTCAGGAGGCTGAGACAGGAGAATTGCTTGAACCTGGGAGGCGGAGGTTGCAATGAGCTGAGATTGCGCCACTGCACTCCATCCTGGGCAATAGAGCAAGACTCCATCTTAAAAAAAAGTAAAAGGAAAGTAGAGGTCATCTTTGTAACCATCTCACAAGCAAATAATTGGGATAGACTTTACTGCCCTCTCAGATGCCAAGACCTTAAAGAGACTCTTAACAGTCCCAAGGTAAGAACTACAGACACATGCACTGGGCATTCTTTGGGATGCATGTGTCACCTGGGCACTATTCAGAGCAGCCCACTTGCATGCTCACATTTTCATTTGTTGCAAGATTTTGCTCAAGCTCAGCACTAACACTTATTAAACATTGGCTGAAAAAGTTCTTTTTTTTTTTTTTGAGACGGAGTCTTGCTCTGTCACGCAGGCTGGAGTGCAGGGCGCCATCTCGGCTCACTGCAAGCTCCGCCCCCCAGGTTCATGCCATTCACCTGCCCCAGCCTCCCAAGTAGCTGGGACTACAGGCGCCCACCACCACGCCCGGCTAATTTTTTTGTATTTTTAGTAGAGACGGGGTTTCACCGTATTCGCCAGGATGGTTTCGATCTCCTGACCTTGTGATCTGCCCGCCTCAGCCTCCCAAAGTGCTGGGATTACAGGCGTGAGCCACCGTGCCCGGCCAGCTCTTCATTTTTGATCCAATTTTTTAAAAACACAACTTTTGTATTATAAGTCCCATTTCATTTTGCATTCGGCATCCTATGTTCTTATACTCCATAATATCCTTACTAAATGATACATTTGGACCACTGGCAGGACAGCAAAAATAGGCTTTCCTGCTAAAGCTGCTGCATAGCCTAGACTTGGGGGATACTGAAAGCTCCAGCAGATTATTCACCAATACCATGTACAATCTGACTTCCCAGACCTTCCAGCACACTCTCTGGGATGAGGGGCTGAGGGATGGGGGAGCAGACACAGGGCTGGGGAATCAGTCATGTCTGGACAAACCCTCCTTGGATAAAATGCACCACCCCCATCCCGCCTATTCCACCACACAAGTGCCCTGGGATTCCCCCATAATAATAAGGCAAAGAAAAAGCTTTAACTTACAATTCTTTCACTCTCACTGCCAGTCTTCAAAATAGCCCAGTATCGGAACCGTATTTTTTTCTGTTGAAATTTACTGTGACAACACTCAAAAACATTCATTTCAGAGGGGGTTCATGTTGATAAAAATGGAAGCAACAGGGAACTCAGGCTTTAGGAATGACAAAACAGGGGTGCAGGCTGATATCAGTTCAGAAGTGAAGATCCTCTGCCTTTTCATGACACTGGTTTTAAGTGTTCAGGACTTCACATCCTCTGAAGACATTTGCTTTTAAATAACACCCACATTGTCCCGGACTGCCTCCCTGACAATGGGAAACCTTTGCACCGAGCTGGTTATGAATTATCAGAGGGCAGCATGTGTGAAGAGTTTTCTGAACGGCTGAAAAGCACCCTTTTTCCACATGCTGATAAGTCTCTAATAGCCGAACACATCTCCTTGATGGACAGAAAAGAAGAACCACATCCCACAATAAAACCCACTGGGCTCTGAGAAAAGGTGATTCTGATAGAAAATAACAGGTATGCTCTAAATTCAAATGGGGCTATAGTTGAGCAGATTCACTCCAGTCCCGGAATTAACATCACGACCAAATGAAAGGAGCCACGTCCTCAGGTCTCAAAAATCACAGATGCTCACAGCACCAAGAGCCCTTCCCTACCAGCGGTTCCTGTGTCCCTCAATACCACAGTCCTACCCAGGGAACATTCACTAAGGACACATTAGGAGCGAGTGCTCAGTTAGACACTGGGAGTGTAACGACGAATAAAACACTTCCTTCTCTCAAGAAACTCATAGGTAAGTGGTTAGAAAGACATCAAACAAGCAAAATATCTCTTGATGACTGCTGGTCATAGATGTTTCCACATGGGATCTGGCATTAGGGGAAAATGACATTGAATATGGGCATTGAAGGTGTTGGCTGGGAGGGAGGGTTACAGAAAAAAGAACTGAATAGTGGGCAGTAAGACCGCAAGAGTGAAAATTAAGAATCAGAGAAATAGTTTCCTCAGGTAGTTCAACAGGGTATTATACCCTGAAGACAGACAGTATAGGTTGGGGAAAAAACAATTGTGGAAGACCCCAGAGTCATGGTAAGGAGTCCACAGTGGATCCAGGAGGCAATGATGAGACCTGTCAGTACTCAAAGTCGGAGGAGGGCACATGTGTTCGTTCACTCATTCATTGAACAAACATTTGGGGACCAAATCTTCTCCCGGCACTACAGTAGGTGCTAGAGGTGGAAGGGCGAGCTAAAGAGACCCGCTTTCTCCATTCCCAAAGCTTGTAAATCTGCTGTGAAAACAAAAGATTATAAAAACAAGAAAAATAAAGAGCCCTGAGTATTAAGGGTACATACAAGGAGTTAGGTAAATAGGGAGCCAAGGAAGCCTGCTAGTTAAGGGTCAGGAGCAATTAATTGTGTTTCAGCTGAGACCCAAGGATCTAGGCAGCCAGACAAAGAAGAGGAAGGAAGTAAGAGCAATAGAGGGTGTCAGGGAGAAGAAAGAACAGGTGGGAAGAGCAGAGCCCACAGAGGGCGATGTACACCAGGACTTAAAAGAATCTGGCGTGGCTGGGTAGAGGATGCCAGATAATGCGAGGCAGTATGGTGGGGATTAGGGGATGGGCCAGAGGGGCTGACAAGGAGCAGAGCGGTGCTCTGATTCAGCCCTGAGGAGTCTGAAGAACGAAGCAGACCTGCAAGAAAGTGGGCTGTTGTGCTTAGTCCTGATCACAAAGGAGGAGTGGCAGAGCCAGGGCGACAGCAGTGGTGAAAGATGGGAAACAACTGACGCAGCTACAAGGCCGAGCTTAGACTCAACAGGAGGTGGCAACCGAGACACGGAGTGAATGAAGGGAGACAAGGATTACTCCCAAGTTTAGGGCCTGAACGGCGTAGAGCTGGGAATGCTGACTGAGATGTTAGAGAAAGAAAGGTGGACTGGGAAAGAAATAAAGCAAGGAGTTGGGTTTAAGAACTAAGGGGTTAACGCACTAACAAAAACACCACCTGATGAGCGTCCTTCACCAGAGGTCACTGGGCCTTCAAAAGGTGTCTCAAGGAATGGGAATCTCATCTCTTTCCCAGATGGTGAACTCCATGCCTGACAACTGAGTCGCTGAAACAGGTGTTCTTTCTTACAGGGAGACAATGCCTGCCTCCCCATAACATTTATGCATTGATCCTGCTTCCATGCTCAGGAGCAAATCACAGTAAGCCTAAGCCGACTCCCTCTTAGTGTCATAATTCCCCTTAATCGGGGAAGATTCTGGTCATTTTCAGTTCACTTACATCAGACGTTAGAATCAGAAGCTTGTAGGTAGAATGTCGGCACCCTGCTAAGTGCACTCGACAACTTCATTTCACGTCGGAAGAAACGAAGGCCTACCATGAAGAGCAAGTGTGCCCCAGATCATCCAGCTCCTCTGGCTGAGGTGATTTGAGATCCTGAGACAGCTGACCCCCTCCAGGGCTCTCTCAATATATCATGCTGCGGCGTGTAATCCAACTCCAAAACCCTATGCTGAGAGCAGCCACATCTCAGAGGGAGTTCTTGGCTCTGCTCTCAGGAGGTCCATTGATATTAAACAGAGTCAAAAAATAAATAAACCCACATAAAGTATGAATAGTATTTCCATGAATACAGGCAGCAACTCTGCCCCTTATTTATGGCTTCACCTGCCACGAAACCAAAAACTCAAGGGTGTCAATAAATGGATTGTAACGTTGTTGTGATGTTTAATTACAAAGAAAATAACGTCTCTGCGGGCCCTTTGGGAAATGCACTGTTGTCTGTAGCAACCAGCAGGGAGCTTCATGGAGGCATTGCCTTTGTGTTCTGATAAATACTCAGACTTTCCCAGAGCCTCAGGATCTCTGGGTCAGGCAGGGTCAGATGGGTCACCTTGCGTAACTGCCTGTCTCGCTCAGCTCCCTCCCACGATACTGGACTTGTGTTTCTGCATCTTTCATGCCAGGTATTTCACCACCTCCTGGGCAGCTCATTCCAGCTCTGGTC
This sequence comes from Homo sapiens, assembly GCF_000001405.40. Lineage (NCBI taxonomy): Eukaryota > Metazoa > Chordata > Mammalia > Primates > Hominidae > Homo > Homo sapiens. Next base: position 33,758,089 of record NC_000022.11, read on the forward strand.
AGCATGATCCTCATTATGAGGAGCTTGACATCTGGCTCCTTGCCACGTCCCTCCATAGGTTTGGGGCCACCAGAGCAATCCCAATCTTTCTTTCAGGGGACAGCCCTTTGTCTGTTTGCTGAAGCTGAGCATGTACACCCTGAGCCTCTGCTTCTCCAAGGTAAACATCCTCAATTCTTCCCACCATTTCTTACATAACCAGATTTGAACGGGCACTGTCACTCACCTGGATTTTCCTAAGCATGCTGCCTCATCTAGATTGTCCTTACAGCATAGAGTCCACAAATACAAATGCGGCAGCCCGAATGCACACTAACTGACACTCAGTAACAGAAATCTGTTGCCTCTGTCATCCTAGCTAAAATACTGTGTTAACATGCCCACATCACCCAGCCCCTACTAAATGCAGCTCGTGATTTGGTCCCAAGTGTGGGGTTCATTCTAAAGGATCATGTTGATAGATACAGCACCTACACCCAGTCTGTCATGTTGCCTCAAAGTATTTTCATGATCTTTCCAGTTTCCCATAATCTATCTGCCAGTCTGGTGAAATTGCTCAAAGTTAGTGATCACATTCACTCCACCGGCCACGATGGTTCTAAGCTGCCTTCAAATTGACCATCAACACATCTAACCATAAACACAGACAGTTATGAATTCTCCATAATCCAGATCAACTTCTAATCTCTTCCTTTTGGGAAACCATGCCATTTGCCTTTGGTGGCCATCCCAGTCACCCAATCTCACCCAGCGTGTTTTAAGCAACTCTCCATCATCCTGTGACCAGAAATAGGCACAGGGCTTAAAGTTAACAAAAAAGTACCAGCCTCCCTCACTCCCCTCCCATAACCGCAGTGACTGGTTTCAGGAGGAGTTACCACAGGCAATTCAATCAGAGGCAATATTAGTGAATTAGCAAAAGGAAAAAATCCTCTTTCTACTGGGGTTGGTGAGGACAGGATGCAAGCCTGAAACTTCCTCTATGTAGATAAAGTCACCCTGAGAAAAACCAAGGCAGAGAAAAATAGAACAAAGGGATAGAGGGAGACCTAGCTACAAGCCCCTGGATCCAACTCTGCCTGAAGCCTGCCCTACCTCTGAACTTACAAATCCTATTAACTATCAAATTCCCTTTTCACCAAAAATCAATTTGGGTTGGCTTTCTGCCAAAGAGTGCAAATCAAAATTCTACAACTTTCCTCACCCAGATTGTGTGACACCCTGTCAAATCCCTGACCAAAGTTCAATCACTCATTGAGGCCCCAATCTATAGCATGGTATTACAGTTAACAACTCAAGCTCTTGAGTCCAATCCAGGCTCCATCTTGACCACCTCTGGGACCATGGGCAGATCACTGAAGCTTATCTGCCTCATCCCCCCCATCTGTAAAACAGGTGTATTAAACGCACCTGGCACAAAGAATCATTGTGAAGAAAGAGTAAACATATGTAGAAGTCCTTATAACAATACCTGGCCTGTAGAAATACTCAAAATACTAGTTGTTTGTACTGTCGTCATCACTGTGATGACAGAATCACAGTGTCTGTCATCACTGTCCTTGTTATACCATTATTATTATTACCAGCTTAGTTAAAAGTCAATGTTCTACTTATTAAACCTATACTAGCACGGGTGGTACCTCTAACTTCTTTTATAAAAAGGGCTTTTCCATGATCTCTGGGAGAATGTTTCCTTACATCAAGACCAACATCACCTCCCCTTCCTCTCTCTAGTCCCTTTTCCAAAAACTTCCCATCCACTGCCATGGCATAATTGGCTCTATCTACCTGCTTAGATGAAGGTTCTGACTGTTCCAGGGATGCACCTAAAGGGTGGGAACAGGGACAGGGGTGTGTCACTTGGCCTCGGCACTGGGCTGAGCATCCTGAGCCCTCCCTGCTAGACAGGCACACAGTTTCACCTTGTTTATATTCAGTCTAGCTAACTCAAGGCAAATCTCAGAAAGTGAAGTGGAGATCCTAATTAAAAGGTAGCCTTGAGCTGCCAATAAAATTATGCATAAAGGAAACGTTTAAAAACACAGTTGTGACTTCCTTGAGACAGATTTTCATTTGAGATCTTCCTTCTGAAATTCAAGTGTGGGGGTAAATAAAAATAAAGTCAGCTCTTCACCACTGCCGTTCCCTCTCTCTCTGAAGCCTAGAAAACCATCTTCACAGGCAAAACATTGCACTGTATTTGAAACGGCTGGCTAGAAAAATGGTGAGTCTTGCTGTTCCCACTGATTTCTGGAAAGTAGCAGGGATCATCATTTGTTTTTATTTGTTTGGGGAGAGCAAATCCTTTGTTGCCTCCCTGCGCTCGGCCCCTCATGTAACTGATCATCTTTCATCCCCAGCCCAGGTCTGACAGCTCCAACAAACCTCTCCCACAGCACCCTGCCTTCCTCCATCACAACGCGCATCGCAACGTGCCGCGATCATTTCTTAGCCTATCTGTCTCCTCCGCTATCCTGTGAATCTCCAGATCTGTTATCTCCATATTCTCAGCACCAAGTTTAGTGCAGGCATCCAATAATAACAACAACACAGCCAGGCGCAGTGGCTCACACTTGTAATCCCAGCACTTTTGGAGGCCAAGGTGGGCAGATCACAAGGTCAAGAGATGGAGACCATCCTGGCCAACATGGTGAAACCCCATCTCTACGAAAAATAGAAGAATTAGCTGAGTGTGGTGGCGGGCACCTGTAGTCCTAGCTACTTGGGAGGTTGAGGCAGGAGAATCACTTGAACTCGGGAGGCAGGGGTTGCAGTGAGCCACAATCGCGCCACTGCACTCCAGCCTGGTAACAGAGCGAGACTCCGTCTCAAAAAAACCAAACCAAAACAAAACAAAAAAACCAGACAAACAAACAAAAAACACCACCACCACCACCACCACCACCACGATGTTGAATGGGTGAATAAATGAATGAAAAGATGGACCAACTCTTGAAACATATGGCTCCATGAATAGCTCAGTAATTTCTCCAGGGCCCAACCTTTTCTCCCATTATCGACAAAGTAATTGACTTGATTTGACATTTCTGTACCCACCACACTCCCACTACATCAAGGTATGCCTTATTTTGCTTGTTTTTCCCTTTTTCTCCTCACACTGTTGACTGCTGCCAACTACCTGTGTGATTCTAGACAAGTCACTTCCCATGACTGGAAATACATATTCCTATTAGATGGCTTTGAGTTTCTTTTCTAGGGTTCTATGACAGCTAATGTTCCCTTTCTTCCCTCCTTCCCTCTCACTTTGGCTTCCATTCTTACCTTCGAAGCTCCCAGAAAACAGGTAAATCCAGGTGATGGCTGGGATGCAGAGAAGACTCAACGAGGCAGCCAAGAATTTCCGTCTCCCCCTGCAGATTCCCAGCATCCTCTCAGAAGTGGCAATCCCTAATCCCAGCGCCGTTTCTCTGTCCGGAGCATGAAGTCCTCGGCCTCCCTCATAATACTCTCTGAAAGGAAGAGCAAAGAGGAAGGCCTGAGTTCTTAGCACTGGAGATGGGTGTAAGTTATGGAAGAGAAATATCTCATAGATCCTGAAAGGGGTTCAACTGATCTAGGCTTCCTGCTAACCTTTCATCCCAAGAGATGATGCTGCCGTCTCGCAGTCTTCAAAACTGAGACAATAAATAAATAAGTAAATAACAAAAACTGTAAGCTCGCTCTCTCACACACACACACAAACACGCACACACACATACACACGCACAATTTATAGTATAGGTTAACTTCGAGACCTGAACTAACATACTTAAAGGAGCATTTAGTTAGCACCTGTTATGTACCACGTATGAACCACGTGCTGTGTTTCAAAAGAAGACTAGAATAGGCTGGGCGCAGTGGCTCACGCCTGTAATCTCAGCATTTTGGGAGGCCGAGACGAGTGGATAACTTGAGATCAGGAGTTGAAGACCAGCTGGCCAACATGGTGAAACCCCGTCTGTACTAAAAGCACAAAAATTAGCAGGGTATGGTGGCACGCCTGCAATCCCAGCTACATGGGAGGCTGAGGCATGAGAATAACTTGAACCTGGGAGGCGGAGGTTGCAGTGAGCTGAGATGGCGCCACTGCACTCCAGCCAGGGAGACAGAGCGAGATTCTATCTCAAAAAAAAAAAAAAAAAAAAAAAAAAAAGACTAGACCAGAGGATGGATTCAAAAAGTGTAGTCTAATGAAAGAGACCAACAGAAAAGATCTATAACAACCCCAAGCTGAGATGTGCATGGACCACTCTGGAAGGGCAGATAAAGGTGCTGACTGCCCTGTGCGTGGTCAGGATGGCAGAACAGTTCCAGCATTCTGGGCAGAGGAGACTGAGAAAGGCAATGGTATCGACTAAAGAGCACATGCCAAGGCAAGGAGATGGGAGAGGCCACCACCTCCATGTGCATGGGACTGTACCCTAGTCACAACTGAAAGCCTAAACACACTCACTAGGGACTATCTTCATAGCTTCCACCCTCAATATGGAAGAAGAGGTCCAGAGAATCACAGAAACCATCAAAACATGCAGAGAAGGGATAAGAACAAACGGACAGCCTGGGGAGGGCATATCCTCAGACCACGGCAGAAGACTGGCCGTGATGTGTCAACGGAAGAGGGAGCAGGTTGGTGCAGACAAAGTGGATGGCCCATGATCTTTCACCTGATTATTTGACCAGGGAATCATGAAACCTACAAAGGAGTTAAAAAACCAATGGACCCTAAGACCTCATCTCTACCCACCTCCTGACATAGGTGTCACGCTGACTATAGGTGGAAAGAAAGATAAACCCACATGGTGCTTCCCTAACAGAGCGGAACTCACCCACTGCACACAGCTATAAAAAGCTTCAGATTCCCAAGGAACAGATGTCTATAAAACAGCTGGCTTGGTTCTCCCCTTCCATATTCCCAAATGCATCCTTCCCTCTTGGGTAACCCTTATACCGCCATGAAGGTGGTCTGGTTGGACTGACTCCTTTCCCCACCAGCCTTAGCATTTCCAGAAGGCAGATACCCACCCCATCAGATCCACCTTGCATTCTTTAAAACTTAGCATATTGCCTGTCAGCTGCAGGTGCCTGATAACTGTCTGTTAAATGAATACATGGAATCAGATTCTATCCAAAGGCCACCCTCTCAAGCTTCAGGAGTTTATGTTCAGTGAGTTGCCAATAATAAACACCTAATGGAGCCGATCACAACTGTCAATGCTGAGCCTGCTTCTGCAACCAATCTGACACGATTTTCTAAATGGAATTCTTTTGGAACAGATGAAAGACCACGGGGCTAGAGGGTGTAGACTAGAAAGTAAAACTGAAAAAAGCAAAATCCTTTTGAACAGAGAATGTTGACTTGAAAAAAAGTCCCCTCTAGGGAATGTTCAGTCTAAAGCATGGAAAACAAACCCTACGTACACATTCCACCAGTCACAGAGAATAAGAACCACCAAGTCCCGTGAATCTCTTAGGAGCAGGAAGTGCAGAAAAAGAGGGCTGTGCAGTTAGAGAGATGTGGGTTCAAGCCCAGATGCTGCACTTGACTGGCTGTGACCTTGACCAAGTCCCCTGTCTCTGGATAAGCTTCCTTATTCATCTATAAATTAAGATGATACCCTTTATCTTGGAGGGTTGCTTTGAGGCTCAAATGAGAGAGCCTTTAATGAAGTGCTTACCAAAGATATTTTAAGTACATTTCAGGGGCAATCCTTCCTTCCTGGAGGGCAGAAAAGCAGCCTTAATTAGTTTGCTTTTTTTTTTTTTTTTTTTTTTTTTTTTTTGAGACAGAGACTCACTCTGTCACCAGGCTAGAGTATAGTGGTGTGATCTCAGCTCACTGCAACCTCCGCCTCCCATGTTCAAGGGATTCTCCTGCCTCAGCCTCCCGAGTAGCTGGGATTACAGGCACACGCCACCACGTCCAGCTAGTTTTTGTATTTTCAGTAGAGATGGGGTTTCACCATCTTGGCCAAGATGGTCTCAATCTCTCGACCTTGTGATCCACCCACCTCGGCCTCCCAAAGTGCGGGGATTACAGGCGTGAGCCACCGCACCTGACCCTTAATGAGGTTTTCATCTCTCTCTACTCCCACATTTCCCCCACAGGATTGGGTAGAAAACAGATTCCAACAAACAAGTATTGCCCAATATGCCAGATAGGTGATTTAAACCTGAAGGATCCACCTACTCAATTCTCCTTCCAGAGTTACCGTTCTCCCTAGGGATCTGTGAGGGCCTGGTTCAGGACCCCCCACAGATACCAAAATCCACAGATGGCTCAAGTCCCTCATACAAATGGGCATAGTATTTGCATATAACCTACACCTATCCTCCTATATACTTTACTCAAAATCATCTCTAGATTACTTATAATACCTAATGCAGGCCGGGTATTACAGGTGGCTCATGCCTGTAATCCCAGCACTTTGGGAGGCCGAGGTGGGCAGATCACCTGAGGTCAGGAGTTTGAGACCAGCCTGGCCAACATGACGAAACCCTGTCTCTACTAAAAATACAAGAATTAGCTGGGTGTGGTGCCATGTGCCTATAATCCCAGCTACTTGGGAGTCTGAGGCAGGAAAATCACTGGAACCCGGGAGGCGGAGGTTACAGTGAGCAAGATTGTGCCACCGCACTCCAGCCTGGGCAACACAGCAAGACTCCATCTCAAAATGGTAATAATAAATTTTTTAAAAACTTAACCAAAAAATACCGAAGGCAATGTGAATGCTACATAAATAGTTATACCGTATTGTTTAGAGAACGACAAAAAAGTCTGCACGTGTTCAGTACAGTTGCAACCATCCGTTTTTTTTCCTGAAGACTTTCAATCACAGTTGGTTGAATCTGTGAATGTGGAACCCTCAGATATGAAGGGCTGACTGTATCACAACATTAAAATCACAATTTTTGTTTTCACAGTTTACTTACAGCAATAAGTCAAGGCAACTAGCAGTAAGTAGCACTTATATGTCAAGCACTTTTCTATATTTTTTTGCATATAGCTGCTTATGTAATTCTCAAAATAACCTACGAGATAAACACTATTTCCAGTCCCCACTGTACGGATGAGAAAATTAAGGCCTAGAGAGATTAATTAACTGGCCAAGGATTATACACTACTAGTAAGAGGCAAAAACACCTCAGGCTCTGCTCTCCCTCAGCAATTGATCCTAAGAACTCTTGCCAGAGGGTGTTTTTCCTTTTACTTTAACCTAAATCCTTCATATTGAATATTATGATTATTTCTTTCCCAGGGTGAAATATATCATAACTGTTAACTCTCATTCCAGAAAAAAGTACAATAGAAAGGCATTAAAAAGCTATAGACAAGGGCTGGGTGCAGTGGCTCACACCTGTAATCCCAGCACTTTGGCAGGCTGAGGCGGGCGGATCACCTGAGGTCAGGAGTTCAAAACCCGCCTAGCCAACATAGTGAAACCCGGTCTCTACTAAAAATACAAAAAATTAGCTGGGCATGGTGGTGGGCGCCTGTAATCCCAGCTACTTGGGAGGCTGAGGCAGGAGAATCGTTTGAAACTGGGAGGCAGAGGTTGCAGTGAGCAAAGATCATGCCATTGCACTCCAGCCTGGGCAACAAGAGCAAAACTCCATCTCACAAAAAAAAAAAAAAAAAAAAAAGTTATAGACAAATTTAAACTTTTAAAGGAAGGGAGGAGGATAGGAACTGAACTCATTTGGCATTAATAATATTCAAATAACACTGGGAAAAAAACTCTTTAATAAGATACTTACTTTCCTCTTTTCCTCTCTCCATCTGCAGAAGTTAATATCAACACATACAATTTGTAGAAAGTTTTAAAACAGAATCTATGGTGGTTCCCCTTTTATGATAACACAGGCATCTGAAATTAAACCCAGCAGGTAAAAAATATTCCTTCATGAATTTCACTTTTAAATGACACCTCTGTGTACTAAAAACACATTTTTAAGAAAAATCTCAATCTATATCAGAAGTTACTCCAGGAAGTCAACACAGAAATCAACACAAGAAGAACGGAAGGAAGAAACAGGAGGTGGGCTGGAAATTACATCACGAACATGTGCAAATGTTGGCGAATTAACTGGGAAAACCAGCCTCTAATCTGCTGTCTCCCTACTGCTCCCTGGTGTGAGGGAGGCCTCCCCACCTGTTAACCCAGGTGTCTAAGAGTCATCCCTAAACACCTCTCCCTCAACTCCAAGATCCAACTCTTCGGCCAAGCTGGTCAACTCCTCCTCCTAAACATGTACTCCATCTGTCGTCTCCCATCTGTCTTAACCAATGAAATTTACATTTATGAAGAACATTGTATGAACCCAAAAAAATCACCATGATCTGTTTGTTTTTGTTTGAGACACGGTTTCTCTCTTGTGGCACAGGCTGGAGTGCAATGTCGTGATCTTGGCTCACTGCAACCTCCGCCTCCCGGGTTCACGCATTCTCCTGCCTCAGCCTCCCGAATAGCTGGGATTACAGGTGCCAGGCACCACGTCCAGCTATTTTTTGTATTTTTAGTAGAGACAGGGTTTCACCATGTTAGCCAGGCTGGTCTCAAACTCCTGACCTCAGGTGATCCACCTGCCTCGGCCTCCCAAAGTGCTGGGATTACAAGCATGAGCCACCATGCCTGGCTGATCTGTTAAGCTACAAACACAGGATTCAAAGCTAAATGTATTATATAATGTGATCACAAGTATCCTTCAGTCCAAAGCAATAAATTTTATATACGTGTACAAATAACCTATATACCTATATAAGAAAAAAAGGCTTAAATGTTGTAAATTATCTTTTGGTATAGAATATGACTAATTTAAACATATACATATATATATATATATATATATATATATATATATATATATATATATATATATATACTTCCTGAAATTTTATACAAGGAGCCTGCATTGCTTTTACAATTTAAAAGTTATTTAAAAATTGGCCAGGCACAGTGGCTCACACCTGTAATCTCAGCACTTTGGGAGGCCGAGGCAGGTGGATCACCTGACATCAGGCGTTCAAGACCAGCCTGGGCAATATGGTGAAATCCTGTCTCTACTAAAAAATATAAATAAAAAAAATCAGCTGGACGTGGTGGTGCATGCCTGTAATCCCAGCTACTGGAGAGGCTGAGGCAGGAGAATTGCTTGAACCGGGGAGGCGGAGGTTACAATCAGCTGAGATCTCGCCACTGCACTCCAGCCTGGGCGACAGAGCAAGACTCCATCTCATAAATAAATGTTATTTAAAAGTTTTGATCTCTATGTCTTAATTATATTGCTTGCAATTCAAAATACCTCAGCACAGACAGTATAAAATATATATGCATATATATGCATGTATATATATGTATATATATAAGCTTTAATATATATACATATATATTATATATATAAGCTTTAATTTACAAGCTCAGTGCAGTGAGTTAACATCTCTCGTGTCCTAATTGGGAATACACCCTCCAGGGGTGGCTAGTTACCATTTGAGAGACTCCAGTCAGAAGCCTACATTCCAAGCGTGTGCGCCAGCTATCTCTCATCAGCACCAGAGGCTGTCTTTTAATTAGCATCATGGATGTTAGAAATAATTTTTCATGGGTGTTCAGGATGTGTGGATTGTCTAGAAACACTGCACATGAAGAAGGAATAAAAATCTAAGAAAAAAATATATACACACACATACACACAAACACACACATATATGGGGAAACAAAATGGCTCAAACCCTTCAGAATTGCTTAGGATCCCAAACTGATCCTAGGTGCATATAACAGTGGGAGGATTTGGACCACTGATTCTAACTAGAAGATTGCCTGAATCCTGCCACTCACACATTGTCACTCGTCTTCAGTGAACCTTTCTTACAAGGTGCTGTCCCAGCACCTGAAGAGAAAGAGCTGGACATCACCGAGGTTTTGTTATAAAACAGGTCCTATAGGCCGGGCGTGGTGGCTGACGCCTGTAATCCCAACACTTTGGGAGGCCGAGGCAGGCGAATCATGAGGTCAGGAGATTGAGACCATCCTGGCTAACACAGTGAAACCCCATACCAACCAAAAATACAAAAACTTAGCCAGGCGTGGTGGCAGGTGTCTGTAATCCCAGCTACTCAGGAGGCTGAGGCAAGAGAATGGCGTGAACCCAGGAGGCGGAGCTTGCAGTGAGCAGAGATTGTGCCGCCTGGGCGACAGAGCGAGACTCCGTCCCACTCCAAAGAAAAAAAAACCAAGTCCTATGGCAGATGGACCATTGAAAGATGTTAGCTTTATTATCATTATTTATATTACTGTCATTATTATTTTCCTACTGCACACCTTTACCCAAGCCACAATCCAACGCGCGCGCTCACACACACACACACACACACACACACACAGTCTCCCGCCCTGCCTACTGTATCCTAGATGTCTTTCCTCCTCTCTGGGACCTCAATAGAATCAAGTCTTCACTGCTTCTATAGGACTTCTCTGTCAAGTCTAGTCCCGGAGGCTCTCCCTTTTTGCTTCTCAACACCAACAGGAGTCAGCAGCACACTCCTAATCACTTAATTATCTTCTAATCATTTCCTGTGCATTACTTGATCTCTCTTCATTCGACTAAAACCCCTTCTGGGCAAAGGATCTAGGTCTTCCAGGGTTAGTTTTAAGCCTCTCCCTGAGACCAGCATCTAAGACCAAGGAATGTTTACACCAACCCACCTCTACTCAAAGGGTGGTCCTTGAACCAACAGCCATTAGCATCAGCTGATCTTTTCAGATATGCAGAATCTCAGGCCTCACCCTAGCCCCACTGAATCAGAACTGGCATTTTAACAAGATCTCAGGTGATTCATATATACACGAATGTTTGAGAAGCCTGTACTAAAGCACCTAGTAAATAACTGGTTAATAAACAGAGCTGGCCACCCCTTCTCCTCTCTGCTCCTCACTTCACCAGGGCAGGAATCCGCCAGTGCAGTAGGGCAAACTGTTCACATCCTAGACTTCCTTGATTGCAAATTTGTTACAACAGCTTTCTAAGAGATGAAAGCAGAGTTTCTCAACACGTGCCTTTTTCTAACTAAACAAAAACATCTACGGACTAGGGTTGGCTCTGATGATGTGCCCGACTTTTCATCAAAAACTTCCCCCACAAGTGAATACTGACTGAAGAGCACCAGCACCACCCACTTCATTACACCCACCTTACCAAATGGAAAACTGAGACTAAGAGAGGCTAAAGACACTGACTTAGTGGTTGGAAATCCTGGCACGCAAATTCTCGTATTGTTTCCTTTACGGTCTATCTCCCCTATCAGACCATCAGTGTCACAAGGGCAGGGACTTGTTCATTTTGCCCACTGCTGCCTTGTTCATTACTAGCACAGTATCTAGCATATAGACAAGAAGCTAATCAATAAATATTTATTGAATGGATCAATGACTATCTCCATCACGGCAGCAGTCTCACTGGATATTCATTATCATACAAACTACTCCAATCACACGATACCCCTCAGCCCACCCTTCCCCTCCAAGTCCATCTATGGAATGCTGTGGAACTTACACTATGAGATCAGAAAACTCCTCTTTATGTTCAACCTCCTTCCTCTCACGTCATTCTGCCTCTTGCTTTTATGTGAAAGTGGAGCTGTCCCCTAAATCACTGCTTCCCCTAAAAGAAAGATCTGTTACCCTCTTGCAAAGCATGTACCCAACTAAGGGAAAAGAAATGGGCCTCTGTCCTTCTGGCTTCCAGCTGTCTCTCCTGGATCCTCCTGCCACTCTCTCTAATGAAGACCCCTGTTCCACTGTGGCTCACTATCGTCCTCCCTGTCCTTGGCAACTACTGGTCACAGCTCTCATTCTTTTTTTTAGGCCAACAGGTTATAGTAATTTACTTCACATAAGAACAGCATATTTCAGCCCTACGATTTCCATTTAATATCAACAAAAATAATCTGTATGGAAAACCCAGAAGCAATCATAGAACATAATATGCAAAGTGTGCAAATGTACTTTAAAGTGCAAGTTATTCTATAGCATTAGCAAGGTAGAATGTCATAGATATTAAGGAATCCATTTCATTGTAGCTAATAATCTTTTTGCATGTATAGCCAATGCAAATGTACAAATTACAAGTTAGTGTTGATATTAAAATGTGTAACTCATCCTCAGATCATTTGTTTGAAGATACTAAAATAATGTCATGTTTATATTTCATTATTTATGAAAGTCATCAGCTCATTTCTAAAGCTTCATAAAGCATTGCACTGATAACGTATGTGTAGCCAGGAGAAACTGTTCCCTGAACTTAAAAGGTGAAAGACATGCCAGGTGCAGTGGCTCATGCCTATAATCCCAACATTTGGGAGGGCAAAGGGGGAAGAATTGCTTGAGGCCAGGAGTTCAAGACCAGCCTGGGCAACATAGAGAGACCTACCAACTCTAAAAAAATGTAAAGACTTTAGCTGGGCATGGTGGCATCTGCCTGTAGTCACAGCTACTCCGGAGGCTGAGGGAGGATGATCACTTGAGCAAAGGGTTTGAGGCTGCAGTGAACTAAAAATCACACCACTGCACTCCAGCCTGGGCAACAGAGTGAGACCCTATCTCTAAAAAATAGAAAATAAAAAAGCAAAAAAGGTGAAAGGCAATATCCTATATTGCTACTGCAGATTAAAAAAAAATTTTATGTGTATGTGTGTGCATGTGTGTGTACATACAATCCCCCACATCACACCAAGAAACTGCCCATAATCCAAATGGGAGGTCATTTACTCCTCCCATTCTTGATAACTGTAATCTCCGCGTGACCATTCTCACATTCTTCCTCCTCTCCACTTACTTCCATGATGAAAATGCCCATCCAAAATATCTGCCACTTCACATTAACCAGGTTCACATTCTAGGCCTTGTCATCACCCAAAGCAGCACAACCTGCATGGTTTAAAATGTCAATATCCCCCACAGTCCCCCACACAATCTCCCACAATCCCGTTGCCAGCCCTCCAAGGCTACAATTGCATAGATTCTTTACTGTCATCATGATCCCCAATCCACTGCCCTTCTTTATCATACTCTCTATCCAGGTCTATTTTTTTGCTTTTTTTTTTTTTTGTATTCTCTCTTGTTCAGCGTAGATGCTGCCACGGTTTGTTACTATAATCCCCTTCTGTAAGTACTCGCCCCTCCCTTGGCCCTTTTTGTTTCAGACTGCAGTAGCCTGGGAAAATCCAACGCTTCAGATGAATGCAACCCTCCTTGCTCTTCACAGCTTTATGTGTGAAGCCAAATGGGGTAGGAAATCACACTCTCAGGCTGGCAGATATGTTTCAGTTAATCATTTCTGATTTCAAATGGGCACTCAACTGCTCAGAAATGCTACTGCCTTTCTCTAGTAAACTCACTTCTCCAACCTCTGAGATACTTATTTCATACATTTTTTTTCTCAAACCTCTTCCTTCCTGAATGATAAATTTTAGGGGTATTCCAGGATTCAATGTGGGATCCACACTTTCTTTCTCTCCCTAGGTGAAAACCCCCATGCCAACAGCTTGCAAAACAATCTCCCGGCTGATGACTCCCATATTCCTCCCTGTAGCTCTGGCCTCTCTTCTTAGCTCCAGGTCCATGTGTACAATGACCTTCTTCCTATATACCCACTGGATAAACCCACATGCATCTCAGACCTCAACTCCTGATTTCCTCCTCCAAACCTGCTCCAGAAAGGGCAACATCATTTACTCCATTGCTCAAGCCACATATTATGGGAGCCATTCTCAGTTCCTCACTCAAACAGCTCATCTTGGGCAATCCACGCAATCTCCAATTCAGGCAAATTTCTGCTATTCCATGCCTCGCATACATCGTCCTCTCTCCATTTCTCCTGCCACTATACGAATCGAAGCTACCATCGCCCCATGCCCGTGGCTTCTGCATTAGCAGCCTCATTCAAACTCCACTTGAAATTACTCAGTGTTGGCCAGGCGCGGCGGCTCACACCTGTAATCCCAGCACTTTGGGAGGCCAAGGCAGGTGGATCACGAGGTCGGGAGACCGATATCATCCTGGCTAACACAGTGAAACCCCGTCTCTACTAAAAATACAAAAAATTAGCCAGGTGTGGTGGCGGGCACCTGTAGTCCCAGCTACTCGGGAAGCTGAGGCAGGAGAATGGTGTGAACGCAGGAGGCAGAGCCTGTAGTGAGCCGAGATCACGCCACTACACTCCAGCCTGGGCAACAGAGCGAGACTCTGCCTCAAAAAAAAAAGGAGATTACTCAGTGTCTCTCATCAACTCTTAAATCCAAACTCTTTGCTCCACCTAGAAGCACCTGACTTGACCTCGATCTCTCCGACCTTGTCTCTGGCCACTCTCTCTGCTCTACTCCAGCCACACTGACCCCTTCACTTCTGGAACATGCCTCAGGGTCTTTGCAAGTGTGCTCCCTGTGCCTGAAATGCTTATGTTGGGCTCTTTGCTGGACTGCATCCTTATCCCTCTAGACTGGATCTTGAATGCTGTCAACTCAGAGAACTCTTCCCAGACAATCCTATGCCTCAGTAGCCCCCTCCCCAACTTTGTCTATCACCGTGCTGCGGTCATTTTCTTCATAGTACTCATCAAATTTCTAAATTAAACAATTATTTGATTGATTACTTGCTTAATCGCTGCTGCGCCCACTAGATTTTAATCTCTACTTGGGCATAAACCATGACTACTTTATATTCAAGGTATATCCAGACGCATGGGAAGCATTCAGTGAGTATCTGCTGAATGAATGAATGAATGAATGAATGAATGAACGAATGTGCCATCATCAGGCGGCCTGCAGTCACTCTCATACTGCTCCAATAAACCCTTTTAAAACAAAGGTCCAGCAACTAGCTGTCTGACTGTACAACATCTGTAACATGAGAAATGGAATCCACACAGCATCCCACACAGGTCCCTGAGGCAATGGGGTACTGCCCCTCAGACACCCTCTCGTGCACGTGAGGTCATTTGCAAAGTTCACTTTGGTAACTTTCTCTCCTTCTCCCTGCTCCATGGGAATGACCACACAGGAAGCAACTGGTGCCTCCCTCCGGGTCTGGGGCCACGCGAGCATCTCTGTGGAATTTCCTCCCTGAAGGTGATCCTCTGGCCTGTCAAACTGGCACTTCCTAATGGCACTTGGCCTTGGAGGCACTATTAAAGATTCATCATGTGAACTCTAATTTAAAAGCCGCACGCAATATGCTCTCAAACAAACATTGAAAATTTCGAGTTCACTATGTTGAAAGGACCACAAGGGTCCACTCCTGCCAACTCAGTTTGTCTTGATCCTGCTGCGAAGTCAAATTCTCTGGCTGCAGAGAAACATGTACATTTGCCTTCAGAACCACTGTGGTGTCACAGATCGGGGCAGTGGCCCCCTGAGGCATCCAACACAGTCCTCAACCACCCATTTTCATACAGCTCTGCAGTCAAGACACATTAGTTGTCACCCGAATTGTGCCCATCTTGTCTCTGTTATATAACAAGCAAACTCCAAGGCACAGTCTGCATTTCACATGGGCCTCACAGCATTTACAAAGCTCTGGGAGTCAGGAAACCTGGCCTCAAGCATCAGCTCTGCAGATACAAGCTGCAGGAGCCTGGCAACTGATTTGTTATCCTGGAGCCTCCCGTCATTTTTCTGGGAAAGCCCATGGCAATATCAGGCACTCGTGGTTGTTGCAAGGATTGCAAGAGATCAAATGAAATCCAAAATACGATTATCAAACAACAATATGAGATGCTATGTAGTATTAATAGGACTAAAATAAATTGATTGACTATAGCTGTTCGACCAATCAAAATCTAAGGACAGTACAGACACTACTGTTTGTTTGCTTTGATAACCACAAATCATGTGTGAGGTGGGGAAGATGTGCTCTGATTCTGCCTCAAGGCTGTGTATCTTGGAAAAGGAAGAACTATTGAAAAAGGAAAGAATACTCTTACATCTACCAGAAGGGTGGGGTGGGGGTGGAGGGGCGGATGGAAAAAAACTCCTCCAAACACATTATTCAATATGCTACTGCTCTTCTTGAAGGGACCATATCCATTTTTCAAAAGAGACTACCCCTATGAAACAAATTATGTCTCAAAATTTAGCACCAGAAAATGATTCTCTCATGAAGAATCAATAGGCTTCCTTGGATAAGACAATGGCCACTCTTACAAAACTTACCTTATTCTCCACAGTTGACTTAAAAAAAGGGTTAAAAAAAATAGGAGACGTTAATCTTTTTTTTTCTTTCTTTCTTTCTTTTTTTGAGACGGAGTCTTGCTCTGTGGCCCAGGCTGGAGTGCAGTGGCACGATCTCGGTTCACTGAAAGCCCCACCTCCCGGGTTGAAGCAATTCTCCTGACTCAGCCTCCCGAGTAGCTGGGATTACAGGCACGTGCCACCACACCCAGCTAATTTTTGTATTTTTAGTAGAGATGGGGGTTTCACCATGTTGGCCAGGCTGGTCTCGAACTCCTGACCTCAGGTGATCCGTCCCCCTTGGCCTCCCAAAGTGCTGGGATTACAGGTGTCAGCCACTATGCCCAGCCAGACATTAATCTTAATATTTTATTTAACCTAGTATGCTTAATATATTAGCATGTTAACATGTAATCAATATAAAGCATTACTAATGAGGCGCTTTAGTTCTTTTTCTCATCTTGGTCTTCAAATACAGAGTGCATCTTATCATTGACAGCACATCTCAGTTTGAAGTAGCCACGCTTCAGGTGCTTAAGAGCCACATGGGCTAGTGGCCACCGTGCTGGACTGTGCAGGTTTCAGTATTTTCTAAACCTTTACATCAGACTGAGAATGGAGTTGAGGCAGACAGCCCAGGAAGCTTTGCCGTAATACAGGCTGGATAAATAGCAGCAGGAGTTAGTGGCAGCAGAACTATAGAGAACCGGATTTAACTGGATGTGACAGTGCTTAGGAAAGAAGAAAACATTTATTGGGCAACTAGGATACCCAGGTACCATACTGACACTTTCACACGGCCTTAATTCACTCAACTTTTACAATCCATCTGTGCGACTCCACTTAACAGAGAAGGGCACTGAGGTTCAAAGAGGTTAAGTGGCTTAGGTCCCACAGCTGTAAGAGAGGCACTGGGAATAACCCCAAGATTTCCAGCTTCAAATTGAATGTGCTTCTCTCAATTTGGTAGCAAAGGCCTCCAAAATCGGATCCCTGTCGACCTGACCTTTCCAGCTTCATACCCTGGCATGGTCCAAATCACACCTTCTAATCCAGGAACACCACATGGGCAAAGCTGCTATGCGGCCTCACACTTCTCTGCCTTTCCACCTGCTGCCTCTTTTAACTGCTAGACTTTCCCACACCAACTCTGCTTTTCCCCATGGGGAGCCTCTAAGTCAGTGGTTCTCAATAGGGGGTAATTTACCCCAGGGGACATTTGGCAATGTGAAGACAATTTTGATTATTAAGACTGGGGGGTTGGCGGGGCTCAGTGGCTCATGCCTGTAATCCCAGCACTTTGGGAGGCTGAAGTGGGTGGATCACCTGAGGTCAGGAGTTCGAGACCAGCCTGGCCAACATGGTGAAACCCCATCTCTACTAAAAAATACAAAAATTAGCTGGTATGGTGGTGCATGCCTGTAATCCCAGTTACTGGGGAGGCTCAGGCAGGAGAATCACTTGAACCCAGGAGGTGGAGGTTGCAGGGAGCCGAGATCGCGCCACTGCACTCCAGCCTGGGTGACAGAACAAGTCACTGTCTTAAAAAAAAAAAAAAAAAGACTCAGGAGGGTGGGATGCTACCAGCATCGGGTGGGTCAAGGTCAGGAATGCTAATAAACATCTTACAAGGCACAGGACAGTCCCACAACAAAGAAGGATTATGCCCCAAATGACAATAAGGCTGAGACTGAGAAAACCTGGTTTAAGGCAAGCACTTCTTCAGAGAGGACCTTTCCCTCACTGAAAGGTTCCAAGGATGTTTCAACCAAGCACATGCACAAAAGATGACCTGCAAATTCACTGTGGTCATCTTTATCTTTTCCTCCAGAGTCATCTCCCTTGGCTTGGGGAAGTGAAGTGCACTGATCTGCATCCCAATGAGTTTTCTTAATTTCCACCCTTTGTATTGTTGCACACAATCTGGATTGTACTTTAAAAGGGCAGGAACTCAAGTTTAATTGAGCCACAGGCAGGCAGGTGGTGTGGACATTACTTCTAGCATAGAGATCTCTCTGGGGTGACACAGGTACAGAAGCAAATGGGAGGAAAGAATCGAGAAGTAATCAAAATTTTCCACTTACAATATTAACCTCTTTCAACAATGCATTGCCAAAGAGGTCTTTAACGCAAATTTATCTTTCCTGAGGATATACATTCTTCCCAAGGTCAGACTACAGCTTCAAGAAGGCTGGTTTTTATGTTTTTCTTCTGAATGTTAAATCAGCCCTTAATCACATCCATGGGACTACCTATGAAGCCCTGCCTTGGAGTATTTCGATCTTTGTTCTTCCGATTTTCATTCTGGAAACGGACGACGTAAGCAGGCAGGCCTCACATTTTCATTCTGCTTAAGCAAATACACATAAGCATTTCACAAGGACCAATACTGGGAAATGCACTCTGGCATCCCTTAGTGTTGAAGGGTCCTGACTTGTCTAACGTGCAGTGTATTGTTCTTCCAAGTTCCAAGGCCTAGGGAGATTTCATACAAATATCTCTGGTGCCAAATGATACAGGGAAGACAGCTATTGCTTTACCTTTTCTCTACGCTTTGCCATTCACTACAGTCCACAAGGCACCTACTGACTGGGGTACATGCTAGGCCAGGTCCAGGGCTGGAGAATGGGGATGCAGAGATGGTCAGCACATGGGCCCCTGCTCTTGAGGGGCCTCAAGAGAGTGTACAGGATAGTCAGGCAGACACAAACACCACAAACATGAACATAAGTTGGGAGCCAGGGACACATGATTCTCAGGAAAAAATGAGCTGAGCCAGAAGATGGCACAATTTCAAAAGAGTGAGAAGGAGAGAGAAGTCATTCCTGGCAGAAAGAACCATTAGAAAAAATGAAAGGCTGGAACCACACAGTGTGGCAACCAACCGCTCCTTCCAGAAGAAAAGGTACAGAGAACACTCAGATAATGGGACTGGGACAGGACTTGAATGCTCAGTGAAGGAGAATCTGAACTTCCTTCCACAGTCCCTAGGGAGCCACTCGAGATTTCCGAGCAGGAATGATGGGATCTGTGCTTAAGACAATCAATGGCCAGGCGTCGTGGCTCACATCTGTAATCCCAGCACTTCGGGAGGCTGAGATTGGATGATCCCTTGAGCCTAGGAGTTCAAGACCAGCCTGGGCTACAACATGAGACCTCATCTCTACAAAAAAAGCATTTTTTAAATTAGCCAGGTGTGGTGCCACATGCCTGCAGTCCCAGCTACTTGAGAGGCCAAGGTGGAAGGATCTCTTGAGCCCAGGAGGTCAAGGCTGCAGTGAGCCATGATGGTACCACTGCACTCCAGTCTGGGCAACAGAGAGGGAGGGAGGGGAAGGGGGAGGGGGAGGGGGAGGGGAAGGGGAAGGAGAAGGAGAAGGGGAAGGGAAGGCAGGGGAAGGGAAGGCAGGTGAAGGGAAGGCAGGTGAAGGGAGGGAGGAAGGAAGGACTAATGACCTTGAGGCCGAGCACAAGAACGGCTTGTTTAGGTGGAGGCCCAAAGGCCAATGTGAAACTTTCTTCTGGGATGCCCTGCTGGGGGCCCTCCCAACAGTCATGCCCCTGTTTTGGGGGGCTTTCCTTGTTAACACATTGCAGATTCAGTCACACAGGGTAACACTATGCTGAGGAGTGGGGCCTGTAGCTGCAGGGGATAAACCATGACTGGTCTCATGCTTTAGAGCAACATCTCCTTTGCCCAGAATTGGTTCAGGGATGACCTGTGACACAGTCTTAGTTATGAGGTGCAATGAAAGGAGAAGTCATCAAAGGGTCACCAAAGCCACCACAGGAGGAAAAGAGTCAGGAAAGAAATTCTTTTAGACAGATGGAAACATGAGTTTCCTCAGGTCACAGAAAAAGTCTCTATAAGGATAAAGCACAGGGACTCTTGATTCCAAGAACCTTGAACTGTACCCCGTGTGATGGTTTCCAACAGCAATGCCCTTTAACCCTTGTTTCAAGATACCCCCTGATTTGAGCCACATAAATATCCTTGTAGTGAGACGGGCTTTTTCTTTTTATTGCAGCAAAATACACATAACATAACATTAACCACTTTAACAAGTACAATTCATGGCATTTAGTACATTCACGATGTTGAGCAACCACTCCTTTATCTAATTCTAAAACATTTCCATCAATCTGAAAGAAAACCAGTCACCTCCCATTTTCCCTTACTCCTCGTCCCTGGCAACCAACATCTGCTTTCTGCCTCTACAGAGTTAGCAGCTCTGTATATTCCATGTATGTGGGATCATTCAACACATGGCCTTTTGGGTCTGGTTCCTCTCACTCAGCACCATGTACCCAAGGTTTATCCATGTTGCAGCACATGTCAGCGCAGTATCCTTTTTTTTTTGGAGAAAGAGTCTCGCTCTGTCGCCCAGACTGGAGTGCAGTGGCGCAATCTCGGCTCACTGCACCCTCCGCCTCCTGAGTTCAAGCAATTCTCCTGCCTCAGCCTCCCCAGTAGCTGGGATTACAGGCGCCTGCCACCATACCCAGCTGATTTTTGTATTTTTAGTAGAGATAGGGTTTCCCCATGTTGGCCAGGCTGGTCTCGAACTCTCGACCTCAGGTGATCCACCCGCCTTGGCCTCCCAAAGTGCTGGGATTACCAGCGTGAGCCACCGCACCCAGCCTAGCATCCTGTTTTACAGCTGATTAATAGTCCATTGCACGGAGAGGCCACATTTTGTTTATCCATTCATCAGGTGATGTTATATTTGGCATGCTTTTACTTTGGGCCACCGTGAATAGTTTTGCTACAAACATTTGCGCGTAAGTACTTGTTTGAGATGAATGCCTTTTCTTAAGTTTACCTAAATCTCTTCGCTCTGCATACATGGGATTTATCTTTGTTATTATTAATGATCCTAAATTTCTAGAATTTAGCACATAAGGTTCTAGAACCACACAAGGAACGGTGGTTATTTCATTATATATGTCTGGCTCTATGGTGGGTGCTTAATCCACCCCAAACTCCTAATATTTGTCTATCATTATTCCACCCATTATTGTACACATCAGACAACCACAGCTCAGGGTAGGTTAAATAATATGCCATACATTACACACAATAGTACAGAGTGGAACCAGGAAGTACCTAGCTTGTAATCTGGCACCCAGCAGCTCTACAGTGAGAAGTAATCAAGTTCCTAGCGACAGTTTGATCATTTTAAAACAAAAGGCCAGGCGTGGTAGCTCATGCCTGTAATCTCAGGACACTGGGAGGCGGAGGTGGGTGGATCACCAGAGGTCAAGAGTTGGAGACCAGCCTGTCCAACATAGTGAAACCCCATCTCTACTCAAAATACAAAAATTGCCAGATGTGGAGGTGTGGTGGCGTGTGCTGTAATCCCAGTTACTTGGGAGGCTGAGGCAGCAGAATCACTTGAACCCGGGAGGCGGAGGTTGCAGTGAGCCAAGATCGCGCAACTGCAGTCTGGCCTGGGCAACAAGAGCAAAACTCTTGTTTCAAAAAAATTAAAAAAAAATTAAAAAAAGAAGAACTAGGGGGTGGTAAGAGGGTACAGTCTACTGTATCTTCCTCTCCTAATTCTACTTTCATGGTATAGAATGCTCACTGGGCTATTGTGTCAGTTTGCCAGGGCTGCTATAACAACAGTGCTACAAATTGGGTGGCTTAAACAGCAGAAACTTGTCTCACAGTTCTGTGGGCTAGAAGTTCAAGATCATGGTGTGAACAGGGCACGCTCACTCTCAAGGCGCTGGGGAAAGATCTGTTCCTGGCCTCTCTCCTAGCTCCTGGTAGGACCTTAGCTTGTGGCAACACAACTCCAACCTTCACGCGACATTGTGCCTGTGTGCACGTCTGTGTCCAAACTTCCCGTTACAAGGACGCTGGTTGTAATGGATTAAGGACCCAAGTGGCTTCAGGATGACCTCAACTAATTGCATCTGCAACAACCCCATTTCCAAATAAGGTCACATTCTGAGGCACTGAGGCTTGGAACTTCAACATATGAATTCTGGAGACAGAATTCAACCCATAACAGTTACCTGCACCATCGAGTAAAAGACACAAGTAAACCACTGTGAGACAGAGTCAAAAAGAGGCATTTCAGTTCCACGGGGTCAGTGATACCCAGTCCCCAGCAGCCCCTGTCGAAGAGCAGTGGGGCTCACTCCAGGCAGCTGGAGGATGGACAGCACGGTCTTGACAGCTGCCACAGGCCTCAACAGTCTGAATGGTGTGAAAGAAGGAGCATGAAGCCAAGCTTTAGGAAATCTCAGTCAGCAACTGACTATGACCCTGATGAACACAGCCTCTCTGAATTTCAGCATCCAAATTAAAATAACTGTGGGTTCAATAACTGATCTCTAACATCTAACACACAACATCTGCTTATCCATTCCAAAACCCATCAGGAGACATAAATCCCTCCTCTGCAGCAGTGCAAAACTATTTAGGGCTTAGAACAATTTCTTGCTTTCCTTGCTGCAGCTAAGAACTTTTAGCTAATGTTCTTGCAGCCTTCAAAGTTACAGAGTAAGTCTCAGGCACCCCGGCCTCAATACAAAATCAAATTGTTCAGATATATCTCACTCACACAACACATTAGACAGATGTAGCACATAGAGTAAACACTCTGGTTAATAAGTGCTAGGTCATTAGTTGTGGGGCTGTCAGTAGAACCCAATAACTGCGATAGCGCACAAAGCTGCCCCGCCTTAGAAGTCAAGCTAAATGCTTTCCATTTTTATCACCCAATTCATAACCTTGTTGTCTGGCTTTAAGAATCAATAGCCTGGTGGTTTTGGTATCCAATAAATTTGTCTTAGTTTGGACGTTTTTCATTTCCCACGTCACTTGAAGAGAGCAGGGTACGGTAAATTGCTCTTCTCACAGGATTTGTTTTTCCAAATCTATAATTTCACACTGACGGCCAGGTGCTGTGGCTCACACCTGTAATCCCAGCACTTTGGGAGGCCAAGATGGGTAGATCACCTGAGGTCAGGAGTTCAAGACCAGCCTGGCCAACATGAGGTGAAACCCCATCTCTACTAAAAATACAAAAATTAGCCAGGCATGGTGGTGGGTGCCTGTAATCCCAGCTACTCGGGAGGCTGAGGCAGGAGAATCACCTGAACCTGGGAGGTGGAGGTTGCAGTGAGCCAAGATTGCACCACTGCATTCCAGCCTGGGCAACAGAACGAGACTCTGCCTTAAAAAAAAATTCACACTGACGTGTTCCAGAAACTAGTGAAAGCAAAGAGGAAAGAATGCAGACAGCAGAAGCCCCATCCAAAGACCAAGGCAGCTTCCAGCTGTGATCACTTAGGACAATTCACTGAACAAGTTCCATATGAGCAAATGTCAACTGGTCTACCCCAGGGTGACCCATCACTCACCTAGCAAATAATACTTATCTAGCACTTAGTATGTGCCAAACCCCGTGCTAAGTAATTTACGTAAGTGACCGCATTAGTCCATAAATTCCACTGCTTTATGCACACACACAAATAGATATACATAAGATATTTATTTCTATATTTAAATAGTACACTGATAAAAATAGAAAGCAATGCCAGCTCCGTGGATAACAGAAAGCAGCAAGAGACTGAAAGAACCAGCACATGGTAAAAGAAAATCAATGTGTGTGTGTGTATATACATATATATATATACACACACACAGACTCAAGATCACTGAATTTAAGCCTGAAAGAGAGCTTGGGGAGGAGGTAGTTCTCTAATACAATGTAAATTATCTGCATGGGGAAAATGAGGCTCAGACAAAGAATTGGCATATCCAAAGTTAGCCAGAGGGCAAAGGATAGAATTAAGTCTGGAGTCCGAGTTCTTCTTTTTGGGTTCTGCTGTTTGTTTTATCCTCCTCCTCCTCAAATCAACTATTTTTAAAAATGTTTAAAGCACTAAAATATGGCAAGGTTCATGACTGAGACGCATTTAAGACGGGAGGGAGAGTAGCCCCTATCCTTTATGTCTCTCCCAGTCCAAATCCACAGAGACAGAACATGGTTATCAGGAGCTAGAATAAGAGGAGAGTGGCAGTGACTGATAATGCATATGGGGTTTCTTTTGGGAGTGAGGAAAATGTTCTGGAATTCGTTGTGACAATCACACAACCTTGTGAAAATACTAAAAACCACTAAATTGTACATTATATGAATTGTACATTTTAAACACACATTTAAATGTGTTGTTGTTTTACATCAGTGACACGAGAACAATGAAGAGTCAGGGCTTCATCACATAGATTAGCTACTACCAAAATAAAGAATCAAATTGGGCTGGGCGCGGTGGCTCATGCATGCAATCCCAGCACTTTGGGAGGCCGAGGCGGGCGCATCACGAGGTCAGGAGATCAAGACCATCCTGGCCAACATGGTGAAACCCCGTCTCTACTAAAAATACAAAAATTAGCTGGGCGTGGTGGTGCGTGCCTGTAATCCCAGCTACTCGGGAGGCTGAGGCAGAAGAATCACTTGAACCCGGGAGGTGGAGGTTGCAGTGAGCCAACATCACGCCACTGCACTCCAGCCTGGCAACAGAGTGAGACTCTGTCTCCAAAAAAACAAAATCAAGTTTAAAAAAAAAAAAAAAGAGAGAGAGAGAGGGAGTGTTCCACTTCCACTCATCACACCCTTATTTTTCCTGAGAAATTTCCAGACCGTAGCGTGTCAGGCCATACACTACAGTGCTTCGGCCTGATTTAATTGGCATTGTAATGCTGTGACACAAATGCTATGGTACTCAATTTACAGACGAAAAGACTAAGTATCCAAAAGGTCAGGAGATTCCCTCAAGATCATATAAAGGGCCAAAAGCTTGTTTTCTAGGTCTCCTATCACAGCACTTAGCAAAACACGTTAATCCACTGGATCTGTTTCTCTCTCATCAGAGTGATGAGAGTCTCTTTGAGCACTATGTTTCTTCAGAAAAAAAAAAAATTTGCAAGAGCAGTTTGAGATTATAGCCAAATCATGGGAAAAGGGACTAGAAGGCTGAGATATTTAAAAATTTGTTTGGGAGGCTGAGGCGGTGGATCACCTGAGGTCAGGAGTTCGAGAACAGCCTGGCCAACATGGCAAAACCCCATCTCTACTAAAAATGCAAAAATTAGCTGGGCATGGTGGCGGGTGCCTGTAATCCCAGCTACTTGGGAGGCTGTGGCAGGAGAATCGCTTGAACCTGGGAGGCGGAGGTTGCAGTGAGCTGAGATCATGCCATTTCACTCCAGCCTGGGCAACAGAGCGAAACTCCATCTCAAAAAACACAAATTTGTATGGAGAGTTATCATGAAAGGAAGAAGAGGTGTCTACTAAAAGTACTCTCCAGACAGAAGAGCAGTGTTTTGTTGTTATTGTTGTTGTTGTTGATTTAATCAAACAAGTATCCATTGTGGCCTACTACATATGAGAAATTGCTTGCAACCCAGCCAAGGATATGGTCGCAGGATAAGAGAATGGCAGTGCTGGTGCCACTGCATGATTCTGACAATCACTGCTGCAGAACGGGCTCTAACTTCCCTGGTGGTTATTGACCACCAGGCTCTACTGGAAGTAGTGGAAGTAGTGGGCGGTAGAGGGAGATTAGAGTGGTCTTTCCTCAATGGGCTCTAAAAAGGACCTATGTGTTTAAAAGGAGCTTCCAAGTTGGTAAGGCCAATCAGTTCCAAATCACTAAGACAATCTCTCTCTTTCTTTTTTCTTTTTCCCCTTTTAGTGCATGGCAGATCCAAGATTACCTCCAATCCATCCTTCAGAGACCTCCTCTTTGGTAAAACCAACTCAGACTCCTCTGAGCTCTCACTAGACTCTGCTTAATTAGAATGGCTTTTCGTTTCGTTTTGTTTAACAACTGCAACAATTGCTTTCTGCTAATGAATAAACCAATAACATTACGACTTGCAGTAGTATTTTCTATCATATACTGAGCAGTATCTTTCTGCAATGCCAAGCTCTACATACATGAGTGCTTCACATACGTTGTCTTACTAAAATCCAACCCTGTAAATTAGTTAATACTATCCCCAATGTATAGAAGAGGAAATAAAGCAATTTGCTCGAAGTCACAAGCCAGTAAATGATGGAACAAAAATATAAACCCAGCAATCTGACTCCAGAATGTCTATTTGTCACCATATGGCCTGTGTATAGCGTGGGAGCTCCTGGAAGTTAACTAAAGAACTACTAACTTCTCGCTTAAATTTGAGGGAACAAAAATGGAAGGTAAGGATTTCTAGTGCCCTAATTCACTTTTTAAACCAGTTCAGAGTTTAGGTGCTCCGGTGCAAGATCAATAATGTATTGAAAAGTTAGAATAAAAGTGGCATTCTACCCTCAAAGAAGTCTGTTCTGCTTTCAGGAGACAGTCACAGGTACTAATATGCACAAAATGAATCTTTATTTTATTTATATACACACATACAGAGTTTATATTTGTACATAAACAATATATATACCATATATTCATACAGTATGTATACCATATAGTATACATACACACATACACATATGTATATACACATATATGTATAATATACACACATAGACAGTTTATATTTGTACGTATTTATACTATATTTGTACAGTATATATACTGTATATTATATGTGTGTGTATATACATATATGTATATACACGTGTATACATGTGTACATGGGTATATACATGTGTATACATACATATGTGTACGTGTATATACATATATGTGTATACATACATATGTGTATATACATATATGTGTATACATACATGTGTATATAGATATATGTGTATACATACATATGTGTATATACATGTGTATACATACATATGTGTATATGCATATATGTGTATACATACATATGTGTATATACATATATGTGTATACATACATATGTGTATATACATATATGTGTATACATACATATGTGTATATACATATATGTGTATACATACATATGTGTATATATGCATGTGTATATGTGCATATGTGTATATATACGTATATATGTGTATATATATACACACACACCCCACTTAAATTAGCCATCCATTTTATGAATTAGAAAACTGAAGTATTCAGATGTTACACAACTCATAAAGTCACTCGATGAGTAACGGGTGAACAGTATCTCACCCCAGGCCTGCCTGTTTCACATCCAGCACTCTTTCTAATACCCTAACCGATTACTACCAGAGTGGCTAGTGTGAATCACCTACCCTAGGCTAACAATGCACAACATGAAAGGAATCAAGACAGGAAGAAACCCAGTGCCTGGTTTCTACAGACCTCTGACAAGTTTAAAAAAGAAACAAACAAAACTGTAAAACCCATGTGTAGTGATCACAGGGCCAACTGGAGGGGAAAAAAAACATAATTTGTTCATTTACAAATACTTTTAAGCTGCTTGTCAAACAAAATGAGTTTGTCTGCCAGATGAGATCTCAATTTTCTAAGTTCATTAGCAGCTGATGAACGGAAAGGGTCACCTGGTGATTTCATAATTTGGCCCTGAATCTTGTCAAAGCCACTTAAAAAAAAATTCCAAGCTGTCAAGAGAGAAAGGAAATGCCATTTTATCTAATTTGTGCACTATTTCTGTGCAAACAAGGGGTAGATATTTAGACATGCTGTATTAAGTTGCCATAACCAGGGCAGGGTGGTAAAAAAATAAAAAGGAGAAGAGGCAGGACTGTTTAAAATGCACAGTACCAGAAGCCACAGGCAGCACTAAATTGCCTGGAGGCCAAGTCTGACAGCATCTTTATTATTTTTATTTTTTTAATCCTGTAGGTAGCAAAAACATGCTTCTAAATTACAAAAATTCCTCAAGAAGTACATTGTCTTTTGGGCATAAGTAGGGCACAGTATTCAGGTGCTGGGAAGACAGGGAAGGTGGCTTTCCAAGTTCTAATAAGGCCCTTCTTAGAAGAAAAAGGCTCTTATTTTTACTATACATTCATTTTATACTGCAAAGGAGCACCAAAGTTCTTATTCAAGCATATTAATTGGAAAAAAGCATCCCCAATATATTCTCTCCAAATTGCTCCACCAGGAGCTATCAAAGTGAGATTCAATATTGCTACTCCCAAAAGGCACTTCTCTTTTGAGGAATTAATTAGATTTGGTCCCTGGAATTCCATCTCAGCCTCTCCAAAGCTGAGACAGGTTACCTGGGAAAGGGTGGACTCTTCTCTCCAAGAGATAGGAAACAGTACAAAATATTCCAACCTTATAAAGAGGTGCCTCAGAAGGAGGTTGGGGACCTCTCTCTCTCCCTACTCCCTCCAGAGGGTCTCCGAGAATTCTCCTCCCTTCAGAGCCTCCCCTCCTGAGGGGGTCCCCTGGCATTTCCCTCAGGTCTCACTCAGCTTAATTCTCACATCCTTGAAGAGCCTTCCTCAGTACCAAATACCTGTCCTGCCTATAACACCATTACAGCTTAACAGTAAGATAGGCTGGGCGCAGTGGCTCACGCCTGTAATCCCAGCACTTTGGGAGGCCAAGGTGGGCGGATCACCAGGTCAGGAGTTCGAGACCAGCCTGGCCAATATAGTGAAACTCCGTCTCTACTAAAAAATACAAAAATTAGCCAGGCGTGGTGGCGCCTGCCTGTAGACCCAGCTACTCAGGAGGCTGAGGCAGGAGAATCACTGGAACCCGGGAAGCAGAGGTTGAAGTGAGGCGAAATTGTGCCACTGCACTCCAGCCTGGGTGACAGAGTGAGACTCCATTTCAAAAAAAAAAAAAAAAAGAAAGAAAAAGTAAGATAATGGTACACATGCACTGTAATAGGTCTTCCCTCTCAGAATGTTTTGCTTCATTCCACGTTAAGTGAATGGCATGCTATACTTCCACGTAACAGCTGGTATTATCTTCTACCCAATTTCAAGCAGGAACTAGAAAAGATCTTTGAGACTTCTGATTTGCTGGTTAACCTAAACCTCTGGAAAAGCACTGGAGAGGCAAGTTTTACAGAATATGGGGCACTAGTTAGACTGGTGACCTTATTCTCAGTGGTGATGTTATTGTCCCTGGCAATAAGTGAGTGCACTGATCAGGACATTTTCCCTACGCTCCTCCTACCAAGACAGGATCTTCATGGGTGATATCTCAATATTGTTCTGAAACAGCTTTTAATTTCCAGAATTTCAGATTTCTACATTTGACACCTGATATAAAATAATATTTCAAAAGCAAATAAAGGTGATTTTATGACCAGTCCTGCCTCCAAACTATCTTCCTTCCAAGTCAACTCCAAAGTCTTCTTCCAGACCCCATTCACCACAGGCTTTCTGCATGAAGCCGTTCCCAACATGTTGCACTCAGCTCAATCAGAATGAGAAAAATCAAATATTTACATCAGCCTTAAAAATCTTCATCTCTCAGTTCAAAAGAACTTAGTGAGAAAGTTACCCCCTCCCTTGACAATTCTTCTAATGCATTCCAGGCAAGCCTCAATACACTGTTAGTGTGTCCTTACAGCCCTTCAACACTTGGTAAGAAGGAACTGAGAGTTTCCATTCAGATAGCTTTTGGCTAGTAGCAGCATCTAGCCAGACTTGAACATGGTTTAGTTCCTGTGGTTCCCTGCTATTTATAGAGAATGACATAAACTTCTTAATATCTTTAATGTATTTAAGTAAATAACAAGGTCTTAAGAAGATGTGGCCAAACACTATAAAGGGATATGAGGATGACAGAGTTCATGAAACCCTGCCCAGTAAAGTCCAGGAGGCCAGAGACCAAGCATCCAGCTGGTTCTCAGCTATGTCCACCATACTTGGTATTATTTGTTGGCTGTGTCCTCAACCAAATCTTACCTTGAATTGTAATAATCCCCACATGTCATGGGCAGGGCCAGGTGGAGATAAGTGAATCATGGGGTCGGTTTTCCCCATACTGTGCTCGTGGTAGTGAATAAGTTTCATGAGATCCGATGGTTTTATAAAAAAGGGCATTCCCCTGCACAAGCTTTCTTGCCTGCTGCCATGTAAGACGTGCCTTTGCTTCTCCTTTGCCTTCCCAGCCATGTGGAACTGTGAGTCCATTAAACTTATTTCCCTTATAAATTACCCAGTCTTGGGTGTATCTTTATTAGCAGTGTGAGAACAGATGAATACAGTTAATTGGTATCAGAAGTGGGGTGCTGCAATAAAGATACCCAAAAAATGTGGAAGGAACTTTGGAACTGAGTAACAGGCAGAGGTTGGAACAGTTTGGAGGGCTCAGAAGAGGACAGGAAGATGTGGGAAGTTTTGAACTTCCTAGAAACTTGTTCAATGGCTTGGACCGAAATGCTGACAGTGATATGGACAATGAAGTCCAGGTTAAGGTGGTCTCAGATGGAGATAAGAAACTTGTTGGGAACTGGAATAAAGGTGACTCTTGCTAGGTTTTAGCAAAAAGACTGGTGACATTTTGCCCCTGCCCTAGAGATTTGTAGAAACTTGAACTTGAGAGAGAAGATTGAGAGAGATGATTTAGGGCATCTGGCAGAAGAAATTTCTAAACAGCAAAGCGTTCAAGAGGTGACTTGGGTGCTGTTAAAAGCATTCAGTTTTAAGTATTCACAAAGATATGGTTTGGAATTGGAATTTATGTTTACAAGAGAAGCAAAGCATAAAAGTTTTGAAAATCTGCAGCCTGATAATGCAATAGAAAAGAAAAACCCTTTTTCTGATAAGAAATTCAAGCCTGCTGCAGAAATTTGCCTAAGTAATGAGGAGCCAAATGTTAATTGCCAAGACAATGAGGAAAATGTCTCCAGGGCAAGTCAGAGGTCTTCACAGCAGCCCCTCACATCACAGGCTTGGAGGCCTAGGAGGAAAAAATGGTTTCGTGGGTCAGGCCCAGGGCCTTGCTGCTTTCTGCTGTCTCAGGACTTGGTGCCCTGTGTCCCAGCCGTGGCTAAAAGGAGCCAACATAGAGCTCAGGCCATTGCTTCGGAGGGTGCAAGGCTGAAGCCTTGGTGGCTTCCACATGCTGTTGGGCCTGGGGGTAAAGAGAAGTCAATAATTGAGATTTGGGAACCCCTGCCTGGATTTCACAGGATGTATGGAAATGCCTGGATGTCCAGGCAGATGTCTGCTACAGGGGCAGAGCCTTCATAGAGAACCTCTGCTAGGACAGTGTGGAATGGAAATGTGGGGTTGGATCCCCCACACAGAGTGCCCACTGGGGCACTGCCTAGTGGAGCTGTGAGAAGAGGGCCACTGTCCTTTAGACCCTAGAATGGTAGATCCAGCAACAGCTTGCACCAAGCCTCAGGCACTCAACACCAGCCTGTGAAAGCAGCCAGGATGGGGGCTGTACCCTGCAAAGTCACAGGGGTAGAGCTACCCAACTCCATGGGAGCCCACCTCTTGCATCAGCATGACCTAGAGGATGTGAGACATGGAATCAAAGGAAATCACTTCGGAGCTTTAAGATTTAACTGCCCCATATGATTTCGGACATACACAGGGCCTGTAGTTCCTTCATTTTGGCCAATGTCTCCAATTTGGAATGGGAATTTTTACCCAAGCCCTGTACTCCCATTGTATCTAGGAAGTAACTAACTTGCTTTTGATTTTACAGGCTTATAGGTGGAAGAGACTAGCCTTGTCTCAGATGAGACTTTGGACTGTGGACTTTTGAGTTAATGCTGAAATGAGTTGAGACTTTGGGGGACTGTTGGGAAGGCATAATTGGTTTTGAAATGAGAGAACACGAGATTTGGGAGGGGCTGAGGGCAGAATGATATGGTTTGGCTGTGTCCCCAAAACTCCCCTTGAATTGTAATAATCCCCACACATCAAGGGCGGCACTAGGTGGAGATAACTGAATCATGGGGGTTTCCCTCATACTGTTTTCATGGTAGTGAATAAGTCTTATGAGATCTGAGAATTTTACAAATGGGAGTTCCCCTGCACAACCTCTCTTTCCTGCCACCATGTAAGACATGACTTTGCTGTTCATTCACCTTCTGCCATGATTGTGAGGCCTGCCCAGCCATGTGAACTGTGAGTCCATTAAACCTTTTTCCTTTATAAATTACCCACTGTCCAGTATGTCTTTATTAGCAGCGTGAGAACATGCTAATACACCTGGCATAGCAACTGACACCCAGTAGCCCCTCAATAACTATTGTGAAGGGAAACTGGCCTACACTGAATCATCCAAGGATACAGCAGGAATTTAAACCAATTTTTTTTTCTTTAAGTCCAAAATATTTTTAACTCTAGAACTCTACACTCAACCACTTCAAAAGCCAATATATATTTGTTAAGTGAATAAAAGAAAACTAAGATGGTTCTTTTCCTTGAGGTATTTATAACTCAACAGAAATACTTACAATTCATACTGCTTAGAGATTTCCATCTATCTTTTTGCCTTCAGATATATGATGAAAGACCAGGCTATGCCTCTCCGGAAGCTGACCAAAGTTTAAATGTATCCTACCTGTCACAAAGATTGAAAAACTCCGCATCCAGAGCATCTACTAATCTGACATGCCAACTTCTCAAGTTCTACAAAATATAAGATATAACTGACATGTACATCTAAAAGCTCTGTTGAATTTTGTTTTCACAGCAATACATACCAAGAATATTTATTTAGATAACTTCAGAAGTTTCAATCCTTTTTTTATTTTGTTTTTGCTTTAAAAGGCCCACAAGCACATATCCTTTCAAGGTGAACACCAGGTAAATTCTACCAAAAACAACGGCAGTAACTTTTCATTTTACCTACCACAAACACAAATTTCTTAAGAGAATATAAAGGATAGATGGTCTGTTTTATAACTTGTACTAGTTATAAAGAAAAGCCTTCTAAATGAAGAATGAAAACTTTATTCTATAAGTAAATGAGAAAAGCTCATGAGCGAGATAAATCATTAAAATTAAAATGTCTTTGTGCTGTACACTGGAAAGGCTGTAGCCACCTTTAAACTTTCCCCAGGAAGTTTAGGAATGGTGAGCATGTCTGCGTAGTATCCTTATGGCTGGCCAAAAAAATTAAAAAAGAAGAACAAAGAGCAGTCTCAAGAATTAAAAAAGCATGATCCTTTGGGGCCGTATACCCTAGGAGTAAACTCTTCTGCACAACTCAGTAATTTCCATGGATTATAATATGGCACAAAGGGGAACTGAGTCATATTACAAAAAAATTTAATTATTTTCAGTCTTTTCTGTTTGCAAAGGAAGAAAAATACTAGCTTAGAACATTTTCCACAAAATCATTATGCCTCTTTGGTTTCATTTTGTGTTTAGAAATGTTGCTGCCTAAAGGGAAAAGTGCCACTTCATCTGAAAATTCATTTGTATGGAATATCTCACTGCTAACAATGCCTTATCATTAGGTTATTGGGCACTTTATGGATAAATTTCTGTTGGAAAAATGCTGCTAAAGAGCAGAGATTATTATATAGAAATCATTATAGACTTTCATTATGGAAGCCAAGCCAAAGGCTTACTACTTCTATGACCACCAGCACTAGTGCTACCACTATTACTGCCAGCACTAGTGCCATTGCTACTCATATTACTACTCACAACTACCACCATCATCCTAGGAAAAATACTCTAAGTCTTGTGTCCAAGGGAAAAAGAAATTTTTATGTGTCTTATTTGTGAAGTGCATACTGCATGCTAAGACAGGCACTTGATAACATTACCTCGTTTACTACTCACAACAGCCCCACAGGGTAGGCTTTTTTATTATCTGTTCCCTTTTCTATGTGAGAAATAGATGCCCAGAGAGCCTAAATGCAGAGCCTCAGAGTCCAGGAGCACTTAGCAGCAGAACCAGTGTTCAGACTCAGAGACGTCAATTCGGTAAAACAGAACGCACTATGGCCACAGACAACCTAGGATTATACTTGTTAGGAGGTGATATGCTTTGGCTGTGTCCCCACCCAAATCTCATCTTGAACTGTAGTTCCCATAATCCCCACATGTCATGGGAGGGACCTGTTAGGACGTAATCAAATCACAAGGGGTGGTTACCCCCATGCTATTCTCGTGATAATGAGTGTGTCTCAGGAGTTCTGATGGTTTTATAAGTGTCTGGCATTTTCCCTGCTGGTACTTCTCCTTGCTCCCGCCATGTGAAGAAGGATGTGCTTGCTTCCCCTTCCACCATGACTGTAAGTTTCCTGAGGCCTCCCCAGTGATGCTGAACTGTGAATCAATTAAACCTCTTTCCTTTATAAACTGCACAGTCTGGGGTATGTCTTTATTAGCAGCATGAGAATGAACTAACACAGGAGGGCAAGGTCTAACCAGGAAAATCTGTTACTAGGAAACCCCTAAGAGGGCAGGATATTGGGGAATCAGAAAATAATGAGGCATCTTTCATTTCCTAAAGACAACGTTACAAACCAGAATAATCAAGTCACATATTCAAAACAAAAAAAAACAAAGCACAGAAGCAAAAAAACACAAGTTTTGAAACTCTTCCTCCATAGGAAATGTAGGAGTTCCCAAGCCCTCACCTAGTAGCATCCACACCCTCCTTTCTCTCCCCCATTCTTAGCCAAGATTTTCAAATTACTCAGGAGAAAACAGACCCCTTTCTCACTGTGTTCAGGGACTTCCCCAAAACCCCAGCCACGGGAAAAAGAAAGGAGAAGGTGGGGCCAGGGGAGGGGCTAAAGAAGACACTGACATTGAGCACCTCTTCTAGACCAAGTACCATCTCCTTTAATATCCACAAACAGCTTTCCACCCAAACAGCGAAAGCTGCTGAGCGTGCCCAGAGGAGGAGACGGAGGCAGGGAGTTCCACGACTGGCCATGCTGCAGCGAGCAGTGCCATGAAGATTTATGAGATGTTTACCACACTCCTACAGCATCGCACAGGATAAGTGTTCAATGTGGCATTATTATTCACATTAGCAATCCAAAGAAGAGCTGAAAAACATGTTCTGAAACTTTAAAATGTCAGTCTCTCTCTCATCACCCTGGATCACAACGGGGCTGTCAATTTTAAAAATATCATGGCTGGAGGAGAAAAGGAAACAGCCAACCACCCCACATCTGATAAAAGATACTAGACTTTTCCAGGCTTCAATGAGGAAGGACAAAATCAGTCTCCGCTCCCACCTGGCATACATAATGCCCACCAGGACTGAGTGGGAGATAATCGTCTGAAACAGGGAGCAGCAGCTTCCAACAGCTCCCCCATGTTTACTGAAATGAGGCCTTAACTCTAGTTTTATTTATTGCAAATCCATTTAGGAAATGAAAGGTTCAAATGTCCAATTCCCACTCCCAAACCTGAAACCCGGCACAGGCTGTGAGAAGTGAGGAATATTGCTTCTTTTCTCAGGAGAACAGCTTTTATTCCAGAATACGGATAGCTACTGTCACTTCCAGAGTCCCTCCTACCTCCCGCAAGAACACAGGAAAAATCCTTCTCCCTAAATAGAACTTTTTCCAGCTCCTCTCTTAAGCTATGTGGTATGTGTAGCTTCATCACTGCAGATCTCTGTTTTCTCAAATAAGGCAAGCACCCCCCAACTTTTTTTTTTTCATAAGAATCTGTCCTCTTATTGCCTCTCTGTCATAATCATACAAAGAGGGGGTGGTGTGAGAATCTCTTGCTTTCATGCAAATGGATCTAAAAATAAAAGAAAACTAATAAAGAAGGAATTGATAACCATAATTTTTTTTTCCAAAAGAATATGTTTTCATTTGTAAGTTTTCTATAGAGCCTCTGTCTCCTACAACTGCAGGGAAAATAAAGTTTATTAATGTTGAGGGGAAAACAGGGCCTGTATATTGCAAGGCTGCAAGCATGAAGATGGTAAGTTTATGCTAGATGGGATGCCCAACCCCCAAACTCACATATCCAGAAGCTTCCCAGGACCCACATTCAAGTCTGCGACGTATGTAGTTGGGCCCCATGTGTCTGTGCATATAATTTGTGAATAATTTGCAAATGCTGGTGGAGACTGTGCAGCCGTCTTTTCCCAAACACTAGACCACAAAAGATGGTGTCTGAGTCTGATTCTTCTCAGGAGGGAGGGAAGAAAGAAGGGAACCCTGAGATCGCCCAGACACCACCAATCCCAGGTGGGCCCCAAGGGCTCAGGCTGGGGCATGGAGTACCTCTGCCCACAGAACTTGTTTTTAAAGCCAGAACTGCTCTCGAAGAGGAGCAAGAAGGCAGCAAATACCAGAAGCCAGGCAACTGTCAGGGTGAAGAGCCTGGCCTCTTCAGACAGACCAGAGTTCCAACCCCAGTCTATCCTTTTACTGCTGTGTGGCCTTGGACAAGTGGCACAAATTCTCTAAACTCAGTTTTCTTATCCATCCAGAAACCACAGACTCATTTCCTCAAAGTGGGAAAATTTCTTTCTTTTCTTTTTGAGATGGAGTCTCGCTCTGTCGCCCAGGCTGGAGCACAGTGGCACGATCTCGGCTCACTGCAACCTCCGCTCCCGGGTTCAAGCAATTCTCCTGACTCAGCCTCCCGAGTAGCTGGGATTACAGGTACGTGCCACCACACCCAGCTGATTTTTATATTTTTAGTAGAAATAGGGTTTCACTATATTGGCCAGGCTGATCTTGAACTCCTGATCTCAGGTGATCCGTCTGCCTCCGCCTCCCAAAGTGCTGGGATTACCATCGTGAGTCACCGTGCCCGGCCTTAAAATGGGACAATTTCAAGAGTAAAAAGGAACACTATTCATATAAAATGAGGCCAAACTCCCTCAGAGGATGCTTGAAGTGAGACTGCGTCAGCATTGTTTTCCTTTACCTTCAGCATGTCATAGGACTCAATGAATGGTAAGAGTTGTTGCTGATCCTATTTTAAGAGAACTAGTCTTTAAAGAGGTTTGAATTCAGTCTCCGTCTTTGTAAACTGTGTAATCTGGTATAAATTAATCCTAAAACCCAATTTCATCTAAAAAGTAGGAGTAGGATAAATACAGTAACAAGTTGTAGGGCTGCTGAAAGCTCAGCATGGGAGAATTTAAGTACTTAACACTTAGCATAATTGCTGGTATACAGTAAGTATTTCATTAACAGCCATAATAATTACTACCACTACTTACTTATATGTAGGTTTACACAGACGCAAATAACTTGATCCTTGCAGCAACCATGACTATATATACACATTAACGGATCTATGTATAAGAAGTTTTAGGAGGGAGAGGGAGAGAGAGAGACAAAGAGAGAAACACACTAGACATAGTGGTTAAGAATATAGGCTGTGGACCATCCCATTACTGAGTATATACCCAAAGGACTATAAATCATGCTGCTATAAAGACACATGCGCACGTATGTTTACTGCGGCACTATTCACAATAGCAAAGACTTGGAACCAACCCAAATGTCCATCAATGATAGACTGGATTAAGAAAATGTAGCACACATACACCATGGAATACTATGCAGCCCTAAAAAAGGATGCGTTCAGGGACGTGGATGAAGCTAGAAACCATCATTCTCAGCAAACTATTGCAAGGACAGAAAACCAAACACTGTACATTCTCACTCATAGGTGGGAATTGAACAATAAGAACACTTGGACACAGGGTGGGGAACATCACACACTGGGGTCTGTCGTGGGGTGGGGGGAGGTGGGAGAGATAGCATTAGGAGATATACCTAATGTAAGTGACGAGTTAACGGGTGCAGCACACCAAAATGGCACATGTATACATATGTAACAAACCTGCATATTGTGCACATGTACCCTAAAACTTAAAGTATTAAAAAAAAAAAAAAGAACATAGGCTGTGGAGCCAGAGACTACCTGGGTTCAAATCCCACCTTTGCTATTTCTAAACTGACTTGATGCAAGTCAATTGACATCTCTGGGCCTCAGTTTCTTCATGTGTAAAATGTGGCATTTGTATGTACCTCACAGGAGTTCTGAAGTTTAAATAACCTAATCAAGGCATAATAATTAAAACAAATTAAGAGTTTGAGTATTACTCGGGTATACATCCATACACATACATACTCAAAGTAGCTAATTTAACATGTCATCAGCCCTTTTTCTAAGAGTTGGTTTCAACGAGAAGTGGAGAATACGCAGCTAGGGATTCAGAATATCAGAAAAGAGGAAGGCAGACAGAGTTTGGAGAGAAGGCTGCACCACTGACCAGCGTCGCCGACTTCTGACTGGGAGGACACCAGGCAAAGCCACTAGCGAAATGAACCTCTTTTGAGCCCCCGCTAGACTCAAATTCCCAGGGAAAACAAAAAAGAGAGAAACACCCAAAATAATCCAGAAGACTCGTAAGAAAAGCAAAATATAAATCTTTAAAAAATCAATCAAAGAAGGACATGGGTCAGAAACATTATTTTCCAAGTAAAATTATCCCACCAAAAGCACCATACCAACACACCATTAAAGAAACTGCAGAAAGAAAACAGCAAAGTCCCTCTTGTGGAAGACCTTGGAAAATGCAAAGAAACAGAGCCAGGTGGAGGAGGAGGGGAGATTTTTACCTTAAAGGTGACACAGTAAGACTTGGGCTTTTTTTTTTTTTTTTTTTTTTCCCCTGAGATGGGATGTCGCTCCGTCTCCTAGGCTGGAGATCTCAGCTCACTGCAGCCTCCGCCTCCCTGGTTCAAGCAATTCTCCTACCCTAGCCTCCCGAGTAGCTGGGATTACAGGGGCACACCACCACACTTGGCTAATTTTTGCATTGTTAGTAGAGACAAGGTTCACCAAGTTTGCCAGGCTGGTCTTGAACTCCTGACCTCAAGTGATCCGCCTGCCTCAGCCTCCCAAAGTGCTAGGATCACAGGCGTGAGCCACCATGCCTGGCCAGACTTGGGCTCTTCTAAAAGCATCTCCAAAGTTGTTAATTAAAGAGAGTGGGAGCTTGGCAAAGAACATCAGGGACAGAAGAGGGTGATGGACCCGTGAATGGCTAGGTATGTAAGTTGGCACAGAAGCAAGCAGAGGAAAAAGACAAGAAGGGGGCACCCCTCCAGCCAGTTCATTCGCCTTCCCTAGCCTGCACCTCCTCCCTTCTCAGCTCCCCTTCACCAAGCCCTTAGCTCCACCTTTCTCTGCCTTTGGGCATTGTTGACAGGTATTTTCTCCTCTTTCTTCTTCCCAAAACGATCTAGGGTGTCCAGAAGTCTGGGTCTGGGGAGGTATCCCACCATCCCAAATTTTACAGATGGTTGTGTAAAACCATCGTGTTAACCTACACAACCAGTACAATCAAAGCTCCCTTGCCATAGTGACTGATTCCAATGGGCATGAGCCAGAGTTACTCCAATGATGGAGGAGCCAACGGTGGTTGGAGGCAGAGGAGAAGCACATGGAAGAGGACAGAGCCTAGGAAACCGCAGGAGACAAGTGACAGCCCTGACCAATCTCCCCTAAGCTGGTTCTGCCTCTGGAGTTCTCAGTTATGGCAAACTTCCAGTATATTCCCTCACCTGCATAAGCCAGTTTGTAGAGTCTGCTTCTCACAACCAAAGGCACAAAGGCATCCTAACTGATACAGGCACTTTGAGATCTGGGATCCTCCCTTACTTGCAAAATGGTTCTGAAGATAAACTGATTTTGAGTCTTATCTCAGCTTTGCCATTTACAACCGTAACCTAACCATCCCTCCTCGCCTCACTCCCATGTGGCTCACCTATAAAATGAGGATCATAATCCTAATGCACAGAGGTGTTGCATGAATTACGTAAA
This sequence comes from Homo sapiens, assembly GCF_000001405.40. Classification (NCBI taxonomy): domain Eukaryota; kingdom Metazoa; phylum Chordata; class Mammalia; order Primates; family Hominidae; genus Homo; species Homo sapiens. The sequence goes on from NC_000022.11 coordinate 33,797,947, forward strand.
GCAATAAATGCTATCGTACCTACACATTAAAGTACCTAGACATTGGCCGGGTGCAGTGGCTTACACCTGTAATCCTAGCACTTAGGGAGGCCACGGTGGGTGGATCACCTGAGGTCAAGAGTTTGAGACCAGCCTGGCCAACATGGCGAAAACCCGTCTCTACTGAAATAGCCGTCTCTACTAAAAATACAAAATTTAGCCGGGCGTGATGGCAGGCACCTGTAAGCCCAGCTACTCAGAGGCTGAGGCAGGAGAATTGCTTGAACCTGGGAGGCAGAGGGTGCAGTGAGCCGAGATCTGGCCGTTACACTCCAGCCTGGGAGACAAGAGCGAAACTCTGTCTCTCAATCAATCAATCAATCAATCAATCAAATGAAGTACCTAGATATTAAAGTACCTAGCAATGTCTGAAATAGTGAGTATAGGTATTACACACATGCACATACTCTGCATTTCCCTCTACAAATAAACATGTATATTACATGATGAAATGTACAAGTTAAAAAGGAACACAGTGAAAGCTTCTGGGATCCCGACGGCTTGAAAGGGAGAGCTGACAGAAGGAGCAACCACTGGAGTGCTCACTGGATGACCACATCCTGCTTTTCTCCATCTTTACCAACACACATGGCTTTTTCGCAACAGGAGTGTTCCACGCTGGCACTGCTGCTCCAAACCCCGGACATAGGACCTTGACACGTTTTTCAAAGATATGATCTGAAGAGGATGGTGTAATCATTCAGGTCCCTGCACCCCAAGCTCCTTGACACACTGGAAGAATATGCACAAAGAAAAACTGGCACCTCACTAGCTTCATTGGGTCCATGACACAGGCTGCAAATGCAGACACCATGACCCCACCCTAAATCTTTCATCCGGAGGAATCCTCCAGGAGGGCTTTCCGTGCTGCTCTAAAATGGAGCACGAGCACATACATCCTACAGCAAAACCATAAAAATTCTGAATTGGAAGGAACCTTAAAAGTCAGGCATTTCAGCTTTCCACCCAACACTACTGCATCCCATTAAAAACAACAACACTGTGGACCCTGGCCATCTACAGTATTCAATTTGAGCTTCTGGTGTGCATGGATAATTTGGACAATTTTATCTAGTATTATTCCTCCAGATTCCTGGAGTTTCTTTTTCTCCAGGAAGTTACTGATAGCAGCTTGATCCATGCATGGATGGAGAGCCAGAGATATGCCTGGTACCTTGCAAAATGTTCTCAGTGGTGGAGTATCACGCCAAAGAAACACCTGCAATCCCGTGGGTAGGATGCGAGCCTATCCACGTGAAGTTAGACTAAGCATCTGGAGACGGGCATACCACTGCCCACTGTTTGATCAGTTAAGCAGCATTTCTGGAGCCGGGCTATGACCAGGCACTGCTGCTGAGAAAACAAAGCCATAATCCATGTGGTGGGGACAAACAAATCTACAACTAACTCCTTAACAAAAAGGGATGGCTGTTTTTGTAAACATATACAGATAAGAAACTTCTTTTTTTTTTGAGAAGTTGTTTTGCTCTTGTTGCACAGGCTGGAGGGCAGTGGTGCAATCTTGGCTCACCACAACCTCCCCCTCCTGGGTTCAAGCGATTCTCCTGCCTCAGCTGCCCAGGTAGCTGGGATTACAGGCATGCACCACCACGCCCGGCTAATTTTAAGTAGAGACGGGGTTTCTCCATGTTGGTCAGGCTGGTCTCGAACTTCCAACCTCGGCAATCTGCCCGCCTCGGCCTCCCAAAGTGCTGGGATTACAGAAGTGAGCCACCGTGCCCGGTCAATAAGGAACATTCTCACAAACAAAAGCAAGAGTGACTGAAAACGGAGAGTTTGGTAATATGGAGGAAGAAGACTTTGTGTATTGGTATGGGGACATAGTTGGTTCAGGGGAGAATGAAAATACAGACCTCTCCATAGATAAGGTCATAGAAGAGCTAGGATCTGAAGTAGGAACTAGAATTTGCTGAGACCATGTGTGCTCACATGTGCATGTGGTGGGCTCTATTTAGCCAGGAAATAGGGAAGAAGAAGATCCTCGCTGTCCCACGCACTTATGGCTTGCTTTAATTTTTAAGACATCTAAGCTAAGCTTCATTTAAGACATGAAGCTAAGCTTTTTGCTATCCCCTGACTCATTCCGTTCCAAAAGTTTAATGTGAGTACACCAAACCCTGCCAATCAAATAGTAAGCCCCTTGCAGGCAAGGATTATATCAAAAGCTCTGACTGCTAAATACCTACCTCCCTGTGTGTTTTTTAACTTTACAGTTATTTTCATTTTGAAATTATAGACTCTCAAGAAGTTGCAAAAATAGTACAGAGAGGTCCTGTGTACCCTTCATCCAGTTTCCTCCCAATGGTGATAATTTATATAACTATAATTATCAAAATCATGAAAGTAACATCAGCAAGATACAATTAATTAGACCACAGACCTTATTCAGATTTTATTAGTTCTTGCATACATTCAGGCTTTTTTGTATTTGTGTGTAGTTCTATGAAATATTATCACATGTACAGATTTGTGCAACCACCATCACAATCAAGATACAGAACTGTTCTATCATCCTGAAGAAACTCCATTATGCTACCCCATTATACTCACACCCCACCCTAGTCCCTGGCAACCACTGATCTTTTCCTATGCTCTATAATTCTGTCATTGGGAGAAGGTTGTACAAACAGAACCATATAGTCTCTAACCTTTTGAGACTGGCTTTTTGCACTCAACGTAATAGCCTTTAGCCCCATCTCAGTTATTGCACGCATCAAGTTCATTCCTTTTTCTCGCTGAGTAGTGTTCAACTGCAAGGATATACATTTTGTTCATTCATTCACCTGTTAAGGACTTTGGGGTAGTTTATAAGTTTTGAGCTATTACAAATAAAACTCTTAAAAAGATTTGTGTATAGGTATTTCTATAAACACAAGTTTCCATTTTTCTGGAAGTGTGACTTCTGGATCATACGGTGATATGGTTTGGCTGTGTCCCCACCCAAATCTCAACTTGAATTTTATCTCCCAGAATTCCCATGTGTTGTGGGAGGGACCCGGGGGAGGTAAATGAGTCATGGGGGCCAGTCTTTCCCATGCTATTCTCATGATAGTGAGTAAGTCTCACAAGATCTGAAGTGTTTATCAGGGGTTTCCGCTTTTGCTTCTTCCTCATTTCTCTCTTGCCGCCGCCATGTAAGAAGTGCCTTTTGCCTCGCACCATGATTCTGGGGCCTCCCCAGACATGTGGTACTGTAAGTCCAATTAAAACTCTTTTTCTTCCCAGTCTCAGGTATGTCTTTATCAGCCGCATGAAAATGTACTAATACATATGGTATATATTTAACTTTTTAAGAAATTGACAGATGGTCATACCATATTACATTCCCACCAAAGACACAGTTTCTCTGCAACCTCACCAGCATCTGATATTGTCAGCAAATTTTATCGTATTCATTCTAATAGGTGTGTAATGGTAGCTAATTATGGTCTTAATTTATATTTCCCTGATGTTGTTGAGCATCTTTTCATGCGCTTATTTCCCATCTGTGTATTTTCCTTGGTGACATGTCTAAGTCTTTTGCCCATTTTCTAATTGGATTGTTTGGTTTTTAATGTTGAGTCTGGAGAGATTTTTATATATTCAGGATACGAGTCCTCTGTCAAATGTGTCATTTACACACATTTCTCCCAGTCAGTGGCGTCTCTTTTCACCCTCTTAACAGATTCTCCTACAAAGCCACATTTTAAACTGTGATTAATTCCAGTTCATCCATTTTGTTTTACGAATTGTGCTTTTGGTGTTCCAACTCCTTTTAAAATCCAAGATCAGAAGAGGTACCTGGACAAATTACCTGATACCCCCCGCTTCCCCAGTGACTAGTTTCCTCATATGTAACACAGGGAAGATAATTATGGCATCTACTTCATAAGTTGTATCAAAAGAGTAAAGCTATATACGCACTTAAAACACTGTCTGACACCCCTAGTGTTTGCTGTTACTATTTTTACTAATGAAAATAATATCTTCATTTGTTCAGACTACCTTATGAAAGTCCTCTGAAAAAATGCCTGATAACTAACTCTGGAGAAAAAAAAAAAAGAGGGGTTAACAATCACATGTGCAAAGGAATGATTTGGTTGAGAGGGAGATGACTAATGAATCCTCTGAACACAGGTATCATGCCAAGTTTCTCAAATAAAAGGTAAATCAGAAACAAAAGAAATTCTGACCCCAGGCAGAGCCAAAAATAAAAGTAATAATTTGCCTCCCCCAACTCACAGCTGCTGACTCCATAAGCACTTATTCCCACTGCAAATGGCTCAGAACAGCAAGGGAAGCACTACAGAGATGGCTTCAGTCCCATCATCACTTAGAGAAGAGCTCTTAGGCCCTGCTGAATGTTCCAGACTAGACAGGCTGGGAGTCTTCCTTTGATTATCACTGGCAGGTGAATGAAGGCAGCTGCCACCTACCTTTAGGAATGGTTATGTCCCTAATTGTGTATTAAAGATGGCTCTGAGTAATCTTAAAGCCAAATGAAAAGAATATTTTAAATTAACCTTCGGGGAACTCACAGGAGGAGGTTTTCTTCCCCGTTCTGGTTATGAAGACAGGGACACAGGACATCTCCTGCACTGATCTCTTTGTATGGACAATATGCTTAGATATACAGTAGGTAAGGTGACAAGTAACTCTTATTTGTCACCCTGCCCCTCTCCCCACTCAACCCACCAAGGTGAATTGGGCATGTGTACCTGTGTATCCCTAGAAAGAATTGTGCACTTCTATCTAGGAATAAATATTTATTCCCAGGTCTATCTCCCTCTCCCTAAACAATACCACCAGGGTACGGATTCATTAGTCATCTCCCACCCAACCAAATCCTTCCTTTGCACAAGAGGGCAGGGACCCTACTCAATTCACCCCAGTACTTCAGTGCCTTGAACACAGCCTAACACATAATCAAAGCTCATGAATGTAACAAGCTGCCTGGCAAGGCTGGACAGATAGATGGGTGGGTGAGTGGGTAGACAGACAATTGGATGGACAGGAAGATGGGTGGATAGATCAACACACAAATGAAAGCTAAAAGATGACGACGGATACCAAGGAAGATCAAAATATTCTTTCTCAACACCAGCAAAGTCCACCAATGCCTTAAAGTCACTTCTCTAACTCCCCCAAGACAGCATTCATGACCCTCCTCTTAATAAAAGCTACTATTACATTATGGAATTGGTAGAGCACTCATTTCCCTCAATGTTCTAGGGGTTCTGCTTCTATACAACTTCTATACAACTTACATTTCCTATCTCAATTGAGCTTCAGAGACTTCATCTCTGTAGCTTCCATATTGCCTGATATCTGGAAATGTCTTGGGAACGAGTTACTCCTGGACACATTTGGTGGTTTGACTCAGTTTCTAAGGCAAACTGGAGTTTTACAAGTATGTTGTACATAGCTGGAATCCAGTAAATGCTAATGGAATTCATAGCTCCGTAAGATGATATGACTGGCTGTTTAACAACACCAACAACCAAAAATGCAGAGGAGGTGAGGTTCAACAATTCACTAGGAGGACTCGCCAGACTCAGCATGTAGATGTGGCTATGACTTACAGCATCTCATGGCTATGACTCATCACAGCAAAAGGACATAGAGTAGAACCAGCAAAGGAAGAAGGTCTATGAGGCAAAGTCTGGAGGGAACCAGGCTCAAGCTTCAAGAGTTCTCTCCCAGTAGAGTCACACAGGACACACTTAATTCCTCCAGCAATGAGCTGTGACCACACGTGTGAAAACATGTTTACGAGGGAAGCTCATTAGAGGTTCCGTGCCTAGGGTTTTCACCCAGGACTGGTTAGGCAGGCATCCAAAATTGTAGACTCCCAGAAGGAAAACAGATGTTCAGAATAAACTATATTGTTTGCATCAACAGTTTAAGCACAGTGACCCAGTCTTATCGGGTCTGAGAATGATGGGAACCCTCCTAAAATCCAAGTCCCCAGATGCCAGCCAAAGCCAACCTCGTAAGCAGGCCTGTTGAAGGATGGCAGTCAGGATTGTTATGTTAACTGTCTTCTGTACTCTCTTGTTTATACAGAAGAGAATTAACACAGCAATCCTGGCTGCCATCCTGTACTCTCCTCCCTATACAGAAGAGAACATAGCAATCCTGACTGCCATCCTTAGAAAGGCCTGCTTAACATAACTTTTTGGGAAGTTAGTCAGTGATTCCACTAATGCTGCCTTTGTTGACAATAGTTTTGGATTTCTCTGGGAATTGCCTTTAGAGCCCTCTATCTATCCAAAATATAATAAATCTCCAACATTGAACGCAGACTTGATCTCTAATAGCCAACGTATATGCAAAAACCTCTTTGGTTCAAACCAGAAGTCAACAATAAAATAATAAACTGCACCTTTCTACCATGGTCTTCAGGCACAAAGGGCAAGGACCATTTATCCATTCATTCCATGAACATGTATTTGGCACCTTCTGAATACAAAGCAATTTGCAGGTTGACTGCTTGAGACGCACATATCAAAAGGGAGGCTGCAAGAGATCCACAGTTCAGCTCCCTGCTGCTCAGTAAAACACACACTTACCAGGCACACACCTGGCACCTCTTCACATGAACACTTTGCAGAAAGCCAGCTGCATATCTGTGTGTTTTGGGTACCTTGAACAACCTACTTTGATTTTCCCTGAAAGTTAAGACTAAAGTGCCTGGCTTAAACAAAAACAACAACAAAACCCCAGCTCTAAAAAATGACTGAACTAGCCCCCAATGTCCCCAGTGCAACCCAGGTTTTATTTTTCCAGAGCATGCAGAGAGTGCAGTCAAGTTCAGCCTCCTCTTCTCTACCATCATGCATTTTCTAGCTGATCCCAGTCAGGTTCACGGCTTTCAATGGCCTGCAAAGGCCAGCAACCTCCAATCTGTATCTCCCACCCTAACCTTGTTCCAGAACTCCTGGCTCATATCCCACTGTCTGGCCCAATATATTCACTTGGATATATCGAAAAAGCACCACTCATTCAATAAGACTGAAACTGAACTCCTAATGTTCTCTCCCAAGCTTGTTTCTCTTGCAATCTTCCCAGTTAGAATATATGGACAGCTCCCGAACTCCACCAACTTCGTTCCTTTAGGTGCTCAAATAAAAAACTAGACACACCCTTGACTCTTCTTCCTCTGTTAGTCTCATATCCAATATCTCAGAAAATCCTGCTGAATATACCTTAAAGACACACCTGGATTTGGACTATATCCCAACACTTTGGCCACTACACTTGGTCTAAGCCACCAGCATCTCCTGCTTGAATGAAACAACTGTCCTAGTTTCCTAACTGATCTCCCTTCCTCTATCCTTGTCTGCAAGCTCTGCTCAAGTCAGTAACCAAAGAGATCTTTTAGAAAAGCAAGCCAAGGAATCTCTTTCCTCTGCCCCAACCACTCCAATGGCTCCCAACTTCATTCAGAGTAAAGACTCAACCCTGGTCGGGCACGGTGGCTCACGCCTGTAATCCCAGCACTTTGGGAGACTCAGGCGGGCGGATCACCTGAGGTCAGGAGTTTGAGACCAGCCTGGCCAACATGGTGAAACCCTATCTCTGCAAAAATACAAAAAATTAGCTGGGCATGATGGCAGGTGTCTGTAATCCCAGCTACTGGGGAGGCTGAGGCAGGAGAATTCCTTGAACCCGGGAGGCAGAGGTTGCCATGAGCCCAGATCACACCACTGCACTCCAGCCTGGGCGACAGAGCAAGACTCTGTCTCAAAAAATAAATAAATAAGTAAATAAATGAATAAATAAATAAATAAATAAATAAAATAACAACCATCATTATACCTAACATGTCCTATTTCTTCTCTTCCAATTGTTTTCTTCCATTCAAACAATGTTCACTGTCACTATGAACTTTGTCTAATGCCTCTCCCCTTGCTACATTTTATGATTATTATTTTTTGAAATTTATTAAGCTGACATTCACATAAAATAAAATGAGCTATTTTAAACAACCCAGAGGCATTTATTTAGTGCATTCACAATGCTGTGCAACCACCACCTCAATCTAATTCCAAAACTTTTCCATGAACTCCAAAACAAAACCCCACACCCATCAGGCAGCTTCTGCCCTTTCTCCCTCCCTCCCAGCCCCTGGTAATAACCAATATATGTTCTGTCTCCATAAATTTACCCACTCTGGATATATCTTATGAATGGGATCAAACAATATGTGATCTCTTGTATCTGACTTCTTTCTCTGCCCTTTGCTAGAAATTAAGTTTATGGCAACAGTTTTGCAAGCTTCATGTGAGGTGTTGGGAGCATCAGATACCGAAACCAAAACCAGAAGTGGGTAGCTGAAGCAAATGGAGCTAGGGACACACGTGAGCAAGCTGCAGTCCAAAAGTCTGGCCTCCAGGGCAGCCTAGAGTCTCACCAATAAGCCTGGCACATTTTCCAGCCCCAGTGTTTACAGGATCTTCTGCAGGAACAACTCTTGACATAATCACATACATCAAGAGGACAAACAGTTCCTTGAACACTTTCTGAGAACATGGCTGTATCATTACATTGAAATTACCTGCAATGTGACATCTCCTCAACTATAAGCTCCTTGAAAACGGGGCAAGAGCTAATCCATCTTTGAATCTGGGTACCCAGAGCCGTGTCCAGGGCTTAGAAGGCTCTCAGTGATGCAATGATGCCAGCTGTGCTACTCGGAGGAAGATAATAAGACTCAGAGCTGACTTCAAATCCTCTTCCTTGGCCGGGCGTGATGGCTCATGCCTGTAATCTCAGCGCTTTGGGAGGCCGAGGCAGGCGGATCACGAGGTCAAGAGATCGAGACCATCCTGGCCAACAAGGTGAAAACCCATCTCTAGTAAAAATACAAAAATTAGCTGGGCATGGTGTCACGTGCCTGTAGTCCCAGCTGCTCTGGAGGCTGAGGCAGGAGAATCGCTTGAACCTGGTAGGCGGAGGTTGCAGCGAGCTGAGATCTCACCATTGCACTCCAGCCGGGCGACACAGTGAGACTCCGTCTCAAAAAAAAAAATCCTCTTCCTTGCAATTTCAAACCATGCAACTTCCACAAAGACAGCTGGATAGGCAGTTTGTTTGCAGCAGGTAAGGCAACAAGTCATTAAAAGCAAAGCCCTAGAGACAGTGTGTCTGTATGCAAATCCCAGCTCTCCCACCTCCAAGCTATGTGACCCTGAGTTAATTTCTTAACTTCTCTGTGCTCAGTTTCATTATCTGCACAATCAGGAGGACAGTCATGTTACCCGCCTCACAGGACTGTTTGGGATTAAATAAATTAATCTACACGATTAATTATTAGGAACCAGCATGTAGTAGGTGTTCAATAAGCATTCACTTTCGTAACCAGGTCTTTAGTTTTTTAAAAATAGACTTTATTTTTTAGGATCACAGCAAGATAGGAAGGTATAGAGAGATTTCCCATATACCTCCTGCTCCCACCTATGCACAGCTTCCCCCAATCTCAACATACCCCATCAGAGTGGTAAGTTTCTTACAACTGGTGAGCCTACATTGATACATCATTATCGCCTAAAGTCCACTGTTTACATGACAGTTCATTTTTGATAAATATCTTATTGGTTTTGAGGAATATGTAATTACACATATCATACAGAGTAGTTTTACTGCGCTAAAAATAGTCTGAGCTCTGCTGATTCATCCTTTCCTCTTCCCAACCCCTGGCAACCACTGATCTTTTTACTATCTCCAGAGTTTTGCCTTTTCTAGAATGTCACAGTTGGAAAACAGTAAGTAGCCTTTTCAAATTGGCTTCTTTCATTTAGTCATATGTATTTAAATTTCTTCCATGTCTTTTCATGGCTTGATGGCTCATTTCTTTTCGGCGCTGAATAATATTCCATTGCCTGGATGTGCTATGGTTTATTTATCCATTCACCTACTTAAGGACACCTTAGCTGCTTCCAAGTTTTGGCAATCATGAATAAAGTTGCTTTAAACACCTATGTGAAGGTTTCTGTGTGGACGTAAGTTTTCAGCTCCTTTGGGTAAATACCAAGTTGTGAGATTCTGGGTTGTATGGTAAAAGTATGTTTAGTTGCATATGAAATTGCCAAACTGTCTTCCAAAGTGGCTATACCATTTTGCATTCTGACAGCAACAAATGAGAGTTCCTGTTGCTCCACATCCTCATCAGCATTTGGTGGTGCCAGTGTTCCAGGTTTTGGCCATTCTAATAAGTGTGTAGCAGTACGTCACTGTTGTTTTATTTGCATTTCCCTGATGACAAACGACATGGAGCATCTTTTCATGTGCTTATCTGCCATCTGCATATTTTCTTTGGGGAGGTATCTGTTAAAGTCTTTGATCCACTTTTTAAATTAGGCTGTTCTCTTCTTGTTATGTTCATCCAACTCCTTATGGGGAGAAAAGAAAGATGAAGCCTTGCCAGAGTGCTGAGACTCAGCAAGAACACAAAAGCAGCCCCTCCCTGCCCCTACCACCAAGGTGCTTGGCACAAATAGGTTGGGGGAAATCCAGATAGTAAGTCTTCTCCAGTAATATGCAAATGAAATCAAACAGTATTTATGGAATGTTTACAAAGCACAAGGCACCCTGCACGACGCTGGGATCGTAAAGAAGAATAAAGCCCCGTATTCCCCTGCCCTGACAATGCTCACCACCCCACATGTGAGCCGGATCAATTTCACAGTGACGAGTACACTGGAGTTGCACTTCTTTGAGGATGTAGCAAAAGGAACCAGTGTTTCATGCAAAGTCTATCCTCTTCGCATTTTCCCATGAACTGTTTGTGAACTTCCAAAGCAGTAGTTGAAGACAGACCCAGTAGCACCATTAAACCTATTTCCCCCTCAGCCTCAGAACCTGGGCACAAGCTCTTAACACTGTCTGGTGGGTCTCAAATCCCAGACCCATCTTCATCCATTCTTCTCTCCTTATTCAGAAACTCAGTACATCCTTCCCTAACCCCGCCCACCCACCCCATGTATTAAAAAGCTCAGGTCCTGCCAGGCACAGTGGCTCACACCTGTAATCCCAGCACTTTGGGAGGCCAAGGTGGGCGGATCACCCGAGGTCAGGAGTTCAAGACCAGCCTGGCCAACATGGAGAAACCCCATCTCTACTAAAAGTACAAAAATTAGCTGGGCGTGGTAGTGGGTGCCTGTAATCCCAGCTACTCAGGAGGCTCAGGCAAGAGAACTGCTTGAACCCAGGAGGCAGAGGCTGCGGTGAGCCGAGATTGCGCCACTGCACACCAGCCTGGTGACAGAGTGAGACTCCATCTCAAAAAAAAAAAAATCAGGTCCTGTGTGATGTATTTCCCTAGCCTCCTGCACTTTTCTAGATGGAGCTACCATTTATACTTATGAACATACACAACTATATGTTCCATGCCCTCAATAAGCAGTGAGCTCAGAGAATATGCCTGTTTTGACCAGCACTGGTTCCCAAAAGCTTAGCACAACACCTGTGCATAGCACATAGGAAGTTGTCAATAAATATGTATTATTAGATGCAAGGACAGATGGATGAATAGTCTGAATTTCCAGAGAGGTGTGGGCCTCACATTCTGCATGTCTAAACCAGCACTTTCCAATGGAAATATTATATAATGCTAGTTAGCCACATGTATAGTTTTTCATTTTCTAGCAGCCACATTTTAAAAAGAGCTAACAGGTGAAACTAATTTAAATAATATACCTTATTTCCTCCAATGTATGAAAATATTATTTCAACATATCATCAATATAAAAATAACCAATGAGATATTTTATAGTTTTCCATACTAAATATTCAAGATCAGATGCATATTTTACACTTAAGTACATCTCAATTGGGGTGCTAAATTTTCAATGACTGAAGTGAAATAGTACCTCCAAAACCAGAAGCTTGTGTTAAAAAAAAAAACAAAAAAACTTTACACTGCTTCACTTTTTAGATGTAATAAAGATTTTACAATTTGCAGTTCAGTTCCTCAGTGGTACTAGCCACATTTCAAGCACTTGTAGTTATAGGCGGGTGTTGCTACCACCCAGGAGAGCACAGAAAAAAAACTACAGTAGTCTGCATGCAACAGACACCAGATCTCTCACTCTGAACAAGACACAGCATGGGGGATGGGAAGAGAACTAACATTTATTATGACAAAATTATAAAACTTTTCAACCCATTATCTCATGGAATATGTAACAATCCTATAAAATAGGTATTGCTGTTTTCACGTTTGCAGGTAAAGAAATTGGTTGAGAGAGTTTACACTGACCAAGATCATATAGCTAGCAAGTGCTGGTCAGGATCTGAACCAAGGACTGGCTGAACCCAAAGCCATAGCCCGATACTCTTGGTCCCACAGTACTCTCTGGACCTCCGCTGAAGGCAACAAAATCTCCCTCTTGACTCCCCAGAAGCAAATTACATAAGGCACATGAATCCAAGATTCTACCATGGTGTGGTGGTTCTCATATTGTTCACAAATATCAGCTCTTCAGCTCTGAGCACATCAAGGTAGAACTTCTCTGCCCCAGAACAGCCATGGGACCTACTCTGGCCAATGAAATACGAATGCATGCAACTCACTGCAAGCTTTAAGAACCATTATGCGCCCTTTTCTCTCTATCTTAAGGACTAGCAAGAGTACTGATAGAGACTGCCTCACTATCAGGATCCCAGAGTGAAGACAGCATGCAGCAGTGCCATGAGTAGCCTGTGATGGACTTGTAGTACAGGGTGAGGGATGAATTTCTTTTTTTTTTTTTTGAGATGGAGTCTTGCTCTGTTGCCCAGGCTGGACTGCAATGGTGCGATCTTGGATCACTGCAACTTCCGCCTCCCGGGTTCAAGCAATTTCCCTGCCTCAGTCTCCCAAGTAGCTGGGACTACAGGTGTGCGCCACCGTGCCTAGCTAATTTTTGTATTTTTAGTACAGACGGGGTTTCACCATGTTGGCCAGGATGATCTCGATCTCCTGACCTTGTGATCTACCCGCCTCGGCTTCCCAAAGTGATTTTTTTGTTCTATGCGAGATTTGTTACTGCAGCATAACCTAACCTGCCCCCGACTCATATAAACATGATTAATGCGTGAGTGGAAGATGGGTAAATTGGGTGTTCAGGGAAAAGTGGGTGATTCTGAGCTCTTGCTTATGTTAACTGCAATAACCCTGCAGTCTGCTCCTCCATAAAGTCAGTCAAAAGGCTATTAGACCACCAGCTGTGGTGGGGTCTGGTTTCATCCCTACTGGTATTACTGTATTTCTTACAAATAGCTCATTAAGGCAATTATCAGTCATTAGCACAGTAGCCTGAGCAACAGTACAAGCACACACATTAATAAAACATAATTTAGCAGAGCAAGTAAAGACATGAACAAACTAGGCTCCCTTGTGGGACGCTCGTGGCTGAAGAGAATTTCCACTACACTAAAGCCAGGCACTCTGGAGAAGTATGCCAATCTCAGCACCTCTTAAGTGATCATTTGCATGAGCTTCAGTTCAACCAACAAAACCTGAGTCTTGAAGGATTACTAGGAGTCTGACAGGGAGAAAAAGTTAACAGCTTTCCAAGGAAAAAAAGATTTCCCAAATATTCGCAACGTGGAAGAGCATGCTGTATTTAGGAAGTGGTAAAATCATGATTTGGTATATAGAGGTGGGGCCCAAGACCAGGAAAGAAGGCCAGAGCCCAACTGGGAACAGCTTTATTACGTCACGGTAAATTGTTCAAACTTTTTCTAGAGGCAAGAAGAAGTAATCAAAGAGGCTCTAGCAGGGAATGTCATGAGCTGCTCTGAGCCTTAGAAAAGTCATTCTGGCAGTATAAGAATGATGGATTAGGAGACACAGGAAGGAGGAGGCCGGAGCATCAGCTAGTGAAATACTTCAGGCCAGGGATAATGGGAGCCCAGCCCAGAACTGTGACAAATGGAAAGAAAAAGACCAGAACACAGGAAATGGGCTGACCCGGGCTTAGCGCTCAATTGCATGACCTAAGTAAGAGAGGAACAAGGAAAGGGGAAATTGGCTACAGAAAGTCTCTAAGGATGACTGAGATTTCCACCTTGGGTATATAACAATGCATTAAAAGGGACTACTGGAAACTAATTTGACAGGTTCAACCCAGGTGGCAAATGCAGAAAACGATTAACAACATGTACACACAGACATTAAAAACTCATTTATTTTCCCACTCAAGGGCACTTAATAGCTAAGGTTCCAGGAGCACATGCCCCAAAGGGCTGGACCATGAAGTTAGGGCTATGCTAAGCTCCAGGTATGCTCTAAAACATATTGGGAATTGTGCCTGGCCTCCCCTGCCTTCTCACGGTTCTGACACAGCATCTCACCTGCCCAGAACTTGTGACAGTCACTTGGCTTCATTTTGGACGAGGCTCTTTTTGACATGTAATGTCTTCTATTCGTTACTTCCCCCAGACACATGCACAAGTGATGACTCTCTCTTTGCATACTGCGGTGCCTTTTCTCTTCATTCAGGTCTCCTAGGAAAACTGAGATTCAAACCAGAGCCTCCTGCTGTGCATTTTCCAGCCAGGGTGCATTGTCATCAGTGAGGCCTCACTCAATCACACATTCATCTTTGATCCGCCGGGTTGAAGGCACAGATGGCGCAGGCCTCACCAGGCCATCCTGTCCATCTATCAGTCCCTCTGCAATGATCCCCTTGGGGTTCTGGGCTATTACCAAGTTTCCCTTTGTGTGGATATTTCATTCCATAAGCACAGTCAAGCCTCAACAGCTGTCCAGGCCAACAAAGATCAAGAAGTTTCTTCACAGTTTATTTGCTCATTCAACACACAGGTACTATGCCCTGACAACACGCCAGGCCCTGTGCTAGACAATGAAGCACAGAGATGAAAACTGTCTGTCCTTCAAGAAGTCCATAGCCTCCTCAAGGAGACAAAGATATTAAAAGACAAATAAAACAGAGATAATTAATGCAACTAGCACTGTTTGCTTTCTGGTTTTCTCCTATTAGGTGGTACCAAATTGGCATATGAATACAGACTATTCTCTTAGTATTGGTTTAAATGGTGGTATGAAGTACATCTACTGCATTAAGAAGTGCCACTCTAGGCCGGGCGCAGTGGCTCACCCCTGTAATCCCAACTCCTTTGGGAGGTCAAGGCAGGTGGATCATCTGAGGTCAGGAGCTCGAGACTAGCCTGGCCAACATGGCAAAATCCCGTCTCTAGTAAAGATACAAGATCGTGCCATCACTCCAGCCTGGGCAACAAGAGCAAAACTCCGTCTCAAGAAAAAAAAAAAAAAAAATTAGTGCCACTCTAAGAATCAACAAGCTTCCCCAGGCAAGACTGTCAAGCCCTAGTCCTGAGAAGCTTGTGGAAATAAATCAGGATTGTATGCTCTTTTGTTCATCTCCGATAGTCAAATGCCACAAGACCAGAAACAAAACATAGTTCCAGCAATGTCCCACACACACATCTTGGTGGAGGACAGATGTGTCTGACATCTGGGATCTCTTCTGCTCAACGGCCCACCAGATACATAAAACAGAATTGAGAATGGTGACCATCCATCTTCAGAAATGTTGAAGTCTTACTCATTCCCATTTGGACACAACCATTGAGGAACAACATACAGCTTCTGTTCGGCCTCGGCTGTGGGCTCGATGACAAAACACTACTGCAGGATGTTCCATCTTTTCTGCCTAGTAAAGATCTCATGGTGAAATCCATCTTCACAGTGAAGACAGGAAGCCCAGGTACCCTTGAACTCCATCCTTTTCTCCATCTTGACTGGTATCTCCAGTTTTTCCCAAACTCTTGCATTCTACGATGCTCCCAACTTCAGCCTTAAATACCTTATAGGAAAATCTCCACATAAGAACAAACGTCACATTAGAACAACTCAATGAACACTGAACAAACATGCAAGGAGGGAAACAATTATTTACTGAGTGTTTAAATCATGCCAGAGATACTCCACACTCTTGCAACAAGCCTAAAACGTAAATATTAATTTTTCCTGTTTAGAGAAAAAACTTTAAAAAGCATCACTGAAGTTAACTTACGTATCTCGATGGGGGAAGAAAGACATGCTGAGGCCAAGAGTGTAAATCATATCTCGTCTCCAAAATTAATATCCTTTCCATGACATAGTATTCACTCTTGTTCGACCATTTCAAATTCCAGAATGCTCTCCAAGAAAGGCTAGTCAGATGGACTGTCAACCTCTTCTAAGTGCCTCTATCACTCAAATCATTCTCTTCAACCTGACCTCGCCCCTGAAAATCTATCCCTAAAGCTAAGACACTGAGCACATGTCAGGCAAGCAAATGATGCTTTTCCAACAGTCCCCAATAGGGCCCAACAGGGTCAAATACTTTGGTTCCTGACATATCAGTAACAATAATAATGACTGTGATGGTTAGTTTTATGTTTCAACTTGGCTAGGCTATGGTCCCCAGTTACTTAATCAAACACTGTCCAGGTGCTCTGGTAGTTATTTTGTAGATGTGGTTAATATCTACAATCAGTTGACTTTAAGTAAAAGAGTCTATCCTCAATTGTATTGATGGGCCTCATCTAATCAGCTGAAGGCCTTAAGAGGAAAAACTGAGTTTTCCTGGAAGAGAAATTCTGCCTCTGCCTCAGGACCACAGCTTCATTTTCTGCCCAAGAGTCCAGCCTGCCAGTGTAACCTACCCACAACTTTGGACTTAGCCCTACGATCACATAAGCTAATTCCTTAAAATCAAGGTATATGTGTGTGTGTGTGTGTGTGTGTGTGTTTATACAACTACACCATCCTATTGGGTCATTTCTCTGGAGAACCCTGACTGATACTAACATATGCATAATGTAATTTCATACAGGCTATTTGATACTCACAACAGGTCACCTATGTAAGTATGATCGCCTTTTGTTCAAGTGAAGAAACTGCAGCTCCCTGCCTGCAGCGAAACAACATGTGCAAGGAACACACAGACATTAAACGACAAGGCCATAATTTAGACTCATATCTTCAACTCAACATGGTATGCTGCTTTCCGCAAGACACACTGCCCTCCAAAAGTCACCATAATTCCTAATAAGAATAGCCCAGTAAAGGAGGAGATTTAATGATCTGCCACTGAATATATCTAGAAAAACAGTCCAAGGAAGATGCAAGCCCACAGCCCAGCCAAACTGGTTCTTCTCACTTTTTGTTGGGGCGGCACAGTCTGGCAGCCTAGCACGTTCAGTTTCTCCCAGGACAGTAGTGAGACCAAAGGAGAACTGAAGAAGGGCAGAAGCTAGAACTTCCTCCGGTCCTCATCACCTCGTCTAAGCCAGAGACCTCACAGTCTGCACCCTTATCATTGTTGTCCAGCTGTTCAACGTGAATGGCAAAATCATTGCTCTTCATTAATTCACTGGAAGCCTTCATGCAAACCTCATTAAGAGGCACAGTAATTGTTCTGTGAATATTGCCCATTTTCCAATTATGTTCCTTTCCTCATGCGGGGAGAATGTGCCATCAGAGAAAAAGCACTGGGTTGCCTTCATCTGTTTTAAAATAAGTGGTTGAGGGACTGGCTTTTGATGGTGGCTTCTACAACCAGAAAGGACTCTTCAGCCAAGAACCATTCTTAGTAATCTGATAGTGTGCAAAGTGCAAACATCTGTCTATCAACCCAGCCCAGGGACTCACACACCTGGGCTTGCCACTTCAGGGAAGAGACTGCCTGGCCATGAGTTCTCAGCAGAGAATTGTAGCAAGGATCTGAACTCTGTCTTTCTGTGAACCACACCGGAAGGCATGTATGTATTCACATCCATGCAGACGGCTCAGCAGAGCCCTGTGAGTGTGCAGTCTCATGCATCTGCAGAGAACCAGAAAGGGTTTGTGGGGAGAGTAAAATCACGAGGAGAGGTGCCGTGGAAGTAAGAGATTCAGCTGCTGAACCATTTGCAGATCATCATAAGTACTACTTATGAGACTATCAACTGTTCATCACCTCCAAAAACACAGGCAACCCTCCTGAGTCCAATTATCTCCAAACTTTTCCTCTTTCGCATTCAATGTTGTCATTAAATAAGCAAACAAAGACATGGCCTGGTGTTCTGATGCCCACACTGTTTTTACAAATAAAAAAGGTCTAAGAGTGATGGGAACTCCAGGCCTGACTCAGCGAGCAACCTCTGTGGGCTGCGGGCGAAGAAATGAAGAGCAAAAATTCATCCATGAACAGGGCAGGACAGCATCTGGATTTTCATGCTTGGTTTCATCCTCCATAAGCAGTCTGGCTTCCAGGTAGGTAGGCAGACTCTTAATTTGTTCAAGTTGTTAAAACAAAATGCCACCGACTAGGTAGCTTATAAACAACAGGCATTTATTTCTTATAGTTCTAGAGGCTGGGAAGTCCAAGGTCAAGACAACAGCAGATTCAGTGTCTGGTGAGAGTCTGCTTTCTGTTCACAGATGGCCGTCTTCTTGCTACGTCCTCACATGGTGAAAGGCTCCCTTGTGTCTATTTTTAAGGGCACTAATCCCACTCATGTAGGCTCCACCCTCAAGACCTCACTGCTCAAAGGCCCAGCTCCTAATACCCTCACACAGCAGGTTAGATTTCAGCATACAAATTCTGAGGGGGTGTAAACATTCAGACCATAGCAGGCAGGCAGGCGGGAGGGCGGGTGGACATACAGACAGACGGATGCACGGATGGATGGATAGATAGATAGATAGACAGACAGACAGACAGACAGACAGACAGACAGACAGACAGACAGATACAGAAAGACAGATACAGACAGACAATGTTTTTGGGGCCAAGATTCAAATTCAGGCATATCTGGCCACCAAAATTAATATCCTTTTCACAACGCAGTGTTCATTCTCAATCATTTCAAATTCCAGGATGCTCTCCAGGAAAAGTGAGTCTAACGCACTGCCAACCTCCTCTAAGTGCCTCTCTCACTCAAGTCATTCTCCTCAACCTGACCTCACCCACCACAATCTGCCCCTACAGCTAAGACCCTGGGAAGTCGGGGTGGAGGGGTGCATGTATATACAAACACACACATATACATTTATATGTGTATATATGTGTTTCTATACATACACACATGTGTATACGTATATAGACATACATACATGCATACACATATACATACAATCAAATATATACACTGGAGGCTCGGCAGTTTCCCTATGGTTCGCCTCTGCCAGGCACACAAGTTTCTTCACAACCTGGTGCTTGCCAACAGCCTTGTCTCCCATCTAGCCCCTTTGAAGGCACACATTTTCAAAGTCAAATATCAGTAGACTTGCAGGTACTGACACCTCCACTTAGAGGTATTTAAAGCACTTGTCTATTAGATACTTTCTAAGCCCTTTGCATATATATAAATTCATTTAATGCTTGAAATAGCTCTATGAGGGAGTCAGTACTGCCACCCCATTTTACAGCCATAGACAGATCACTCGTTTGTGTTTCTCTCTCTCTCTCTTTCGCAGGGGACCCGTGGGGCAGACCCCACAACCTTCATGGCTGCATACCCAGCACGCTATCCATTGTTCTCCTGACAGCCAAGCCCAATCCACTGCAGAAAAGAGTGTTTGGGTTGTTGCACATCCAGATAAGAAGGGACCACAGAGAGGTAACAGCAAAAGTCTAGAGCACAGAGCTGCTCGAACTGGACTCAGCTGCCTGGTGAAGTTGGGGGCAGGGAAACTCATGCTGGCTAAACAGCTGTCTAATAAATCTGCCCTAGCATCACAGACAGGCTCTCACCGATATTAGCATTCAGTAGTACACCTTCTGTTGGCAAATGCTTCATTGTCATTTTTATTAGTTATGCCTTACAACTTCCCCGCTAGGTCAATATTATCAAGGGGGTCAGCGGTAAGGTAGGACAAAATCATTATCCACTCATGATAGATGGAGAAGCTGAAGGAGGGAGGAAAGGGGGAGGAGAGGGAGGAAAGGGGGAGGAGAGGAAGGAAGAACAGGGTAGCATGGTGGTGCAGGCAGCTTCACACTGTGGAGGAAGGGCCTTTACAGGCAGATGACCTAGGTTCAGACCCCAGATCCACAACTAATTTAACCTTGGACAGGTTCTATGCTTTAGTTTCTCTCCTGTAAAAATGGGGATGGTTCATGTCTCCACCCTTGGATTAGGCACTGGTCCTCCAGCCACATGGTAGCTCCTTCTCATAGGGCTTCTTGAGACTCACACCTTCCCATCCAGCTGTGCCCCCTCAAGTCACTTACCAAACCCTGCTGTCTTCAGTTGATTCAGGGCATGGGTTAAAATCCGAAATCATCGTATTTGCTTATAGTTTGTTTGTAGTCTGTCGCTGCAAGGAGAACATACACTCTACAAGGACAGGAACCCTATCAACTCACTCAGGGATGTCTTTCCAGAGCCTGATAAATTGTAGGTGTTCAATGAATATTTTCTGAATAAATATAGGACAGGGGAAGGAAGGAAGAATAAGAGGGAGAAAAGAGGAGGGGAGGAAGTTCATTCAGCAGCTGCACCAGCTTGTAACTGACCTGAGAGAAAGAAGGGGGACTGTGGCCCTGAGAAGAGCCCTAGAAAAAGGGAGGTTCCCAATCAGTATTTGTTGATAGCCTGTAAAAGCCTAACTTTTCCCTCCTGAATAAATTAAAATTGTTCCTTCTGCTTCTTGAGGGCAGCCTCTCTGTATCCTGCCCTGCTGTGCTTCATGGACCAGAAGAAATGATACACAGCAAATACCTACCGAACAATGAAAACAAAGCAGATTTGCCTGTGATTTTTGTTGGTTGTTAAACACTTTAGACACCCAAGGACCAGGGAGCCCAGTGGCTTTTTCGAGGCAAATTGGCAGGGTAAGAACTCAGCAGGGCAAGAGTCCAGGACTTCCCCCACCTTCAGGAAGTCTGTACACTGTGGTCTCCCTTGGGTGGGCTGAAAGTTCTATTAGTCTCTCCACAACTAGATTCTGATTAGGGCTGCAGGCTACACCGCATTCCTATTTCCCAGCACCATCCCAGAAACGGGTGCCTAATTACTTGGGCACATGGTATGTGCTCAATAAATACCAACTGATGGCTGATTTATCATCATGCTCAAAAACAACTTCAAAGGCCACCAGTTTGAGGAGGACTGGATGGAGTGACGTCACCAGCAGCCCAGTCCCAGATGTCAAACCACTTCAGAGTTCACACGGGCTCCTGGGGGCTTTGGGATCCAAAAGTATGGATCACAACAGCCAACTTTTGTCAGTCCCATCATCATATCTCATTATGTCTTCTCCCAGTGGTGTGTGAGTACAAAGCTCTTCATTGCGCTAATATTCTACAAAGTTCATGGCAGAGCTGAAAAATGAGCTATTCCACACATATGAATGCTCTGGATGACATTTTTAAAGTTCAGACCTTCTGGTCACAAGCTCTATCCCTCTGCTGTCCTCTAACAATCTCAGGTTTTTCTCCCCTTGCCAACTACGTCACCATCCAGGGCAACTCCAGCAGGCCTGTGGCTATCCATCCACAGGCTGTTTCACCAAATCCTTAATTTCCCTGATACCAACAAACCTCCCCACCGAGCCTCCTTAGCACCAGCTCCAGCCCTTGACATCATCTAAGGGTTGAAGTCAACTGCCTTGACTTCAAATAATTAAGTTACCTTTATTAATTACCTAATCCCACTAAATCCACCTCATTTAATCCCCACCTCCTCAACCACCCTTTCCACTTTCCCATGGGGTGAAAGACTGCCCTGAATCTGAACCTTGCCTACTCCATAAAAAATCTCTGTAACCCTAAGGAAATTTGTGTGTTTCTAAGAAACTCAGTTTCTTCTCCTATACTCTGGGCCATTTGTGGACAGCTAGCTGTTCACCAAAGCCTGGGCACAGGATGAGACACTTCCTAGCCTCTATACAGTGAGGTGTGACCATGTGACCAAGTCCTAGCCAGTAGGACATGTGCAGCGTGATGTGGGCCCTACCCGCAGGTAATGCCCTCTGCTGGCTGGACATCAGTGTCTAGAGCTTGCATGTGGATGGTCCAGGGTGTTTCCTTAGGCCAGGGTCACTGTGTGGAGCAGAGACACCTCCCCTGCTTTCACTCACCCCACATAGTTACTCATTCTGTGAGTGCAAAATAAACATCCCGGGTCATTATGAATTTGGGGGTCCATTCAGCCTGCTTTAACTAATGTACCATTCTTCCTGCCTAAAGGAATAGTTATGCTGATTAAATAATGAAAATTTGCAAAACCCCCCATATAAGATCTGACATAAGGCCTGACAATAGATGTTTTTAATTTTTCTTCCCTTTATTTTCTCCCATAGCATATTGCCATAACTTCTATTCTCATTTTATGTTTATTAATTTTTTTAGAGACAGGGTCTCACTTTGTCACCCAGGCTGGAGGGTAGTGGCACAATCCTAGCTCGCTATAGCCTCAAACTCGGGGGCTCAACAGATCCTCCCACCTTAGCCTCCTGAGTACCTGGGACTACAAGCGCATGCCACCATGCCCGGCTAATTTTTTATTTTAAGTAGAGATGAGATGGGGGTCTCGTGGTGCTGCCCAAAGTGGTCTAGAACTTCTGGCCTCAAGCAATCCTCCCGCCTCAGCCTCCCGAAGTGCTAGGATTATAGGCTTGAGCCACCATCCACAGCCTCTCATTTTAAAGTGTTGGAGCTAAATACTATAGGATAAAATAAAGAAGAAAAATATTAATCACACAGCAATTATATTGCCAGGCCCTATACTTCCTCTCTACCCCAATGCTACCATTTGATTCACCACCTTCTCATTCATCGTGGCACCTGAACCAGGCTTGCTATATCCACACTTGCCCTTTTCTTCTAGTCCTTGTCCCTGCTGCTGCTCAGGAGACACATGCTGTCTAACCAACCTCCAGAGGCTCCTCCTGGGCTAAGTGCACCACCCCCTCTTCTGCCTCCCACATGGCTCTCTGTTCCAGGGTAGCTGACACCCTGCACCAACACAATACATTTACTCGTCAGTTTCACAACCCTGGACTGCAAGCTCCTTGAGGGCAGGAATCTTCCTTAATCACCACCGTATCTATTGCAGACTTCTCTTTAGTCACCAGGGATACAGTGGTGAAGAGAACAAACAAATATCTCTGTCCTCCCAAGATTCTCCTCCAGTTTAAGAATCTCTAATTGCTTCATGGCTGGCAGATGTTGTGACAAAGGCAGAGAGGGCATTAGGAGAATCCCAGCTTCACCCACAAATGCTGTCACTTCCTAAGCACAGACGATGTTGGTTATCTTCTCCAAGTCTCGATGTCTTCATCGTTACGAAGTTAGAAAAAAATGGCAGCTACTGAGGGCTACTGTAGGGTCAAAGGAGATGGTGCAGCCAAAAAAAAAGCTTGGAACAGTGCCTGACACACAGCAAGCAAACACTAGTTTACCTCCCCATCCTGAAATGATAAACTCCTAGAGTGCAGAGGCCATGACTTACACTTCTCATTCTTTCCCCACCATGCCTTACAGATATAAACCACGTCTGACAAATGTTTGTCTGACTAATGAGATGGTAAGGATGTCCAAGAAAGTGAGCCAAAGGTATTTAGAAAGATTTCTCTCCACCAGCCTGCGTAAAGAGCGTCTAAGAGCATGCCGAGAAGGGGAACAGAGTGGAGGTAACAGGCAAGTCTGCTCCAATGATGACTTGTACCCTCCTTAGCCCCAATCAATGACTCCCTTTGACCACTGAAGTCCATATTTTTCCCAGCAGAAAGGTGTGTGCATGTATACATACATGTGTGTATATGCTATCAAAGGAGTTCAATTTTCAATACATTATTGGAAATCTTCAACAATCATTATGATGGATAAGAAAAAAATAGGAACAGAGGAATTAGACTGAAAAGCCTGCCCAAGTGCATTAAAAACTTCATGTGAAGGAAATGGAAAACTATAAACAGTGATGTCCCAATCACTCAGGTTCCGTTTAAGTGACTTTTTTAGGTTTTTTTTTTTTTTTTTTAAAGAGCTGTTTCTATTGCGGGTATATTTAGTTTTAACTAAGTGAAAAGATACTTCCCTGATCTTGTAATCTATAATAAATATATTCTAAATTTTTCTTAATGATCCCGGTTAATTATGTATTCCCAACCTTGGCCTGATGCCTGGTATAGGCACTATGTAGCATTAAATCTCACTAAGCTGCCAACAGCACTATGTGTGCCCTTGGGAGCTACAAACATGTCTGGACAATCAGCCCTACCCTATGCCATGGTTCCATTCTGCCCCAGTTTGAGTTCTTATAGCTGGTAGGCAGGGCTTTCCTATACTTCTCTTAGAGGTCAGATTGTCACTTCTTGCTCAGGTTTCTGGCCGGCATCTGAAGTTCCCCTTTCAAATGCACTGTTGTGCTGATCTCCCATAGCTTAGAAATGCAAATGTAGCCCAGGCACAGTAAGAGCTTAGAAATGCAAAGTGCAGTGGCTCATACCTGTAATCCCAGTACTTTGGGAAGCTGAGGCAGGAAGATAACCTGAGGTCAGGAGTTCGAGACCAGCCTGGCCAACATGGTGAAGCCCCATCTCTACTAAAAATACAACCATTAGCCGGGGTGGTGGCAGACGTCTGTAATCCCAGCTACTCGGGAGGCTGAGGCAAGAGAATGACTTGAGCCCAGGAGGCGGAGGTTGCAGTGAGCCGAGATCACGCCACTGCATTCCAGCCTGGGTGACAGAATAAGGCTCCATCTCAAAAAAGTAATATGAATTAAAAGAAAGAAATGTAAATGTAAAAAGCTGGTCAGAACAAAGGGGAAGTCGTTAAGGCTATCAGAAATCCTCTGGTTTCTATCCTTCCAGTCACACGTAGGAATGATCTTCCTCAGCGCCTGGAAGTGAGCAGTGGCCATGTAACTTGCTTTGGCCAATGAACTGTAAGCAAAAGCCAGAAGTAGAACATGATCCCCCAAGTTCCAATTTCCTCTGGCCACAGTGATCTATGACACTCCAGCTAGTGGAAACACCAGCATCCCAGGGTATAAGTTACCTGGGGAAGAATAAAACACCCCACCTATACACCTACCACAGATGAATGTGTTGCACAAGAAATAAATCTTTGTTATTTCAACCACACAGAGATATCGGGGTTGTCCATATAAATAGCACAACCTAATCCATCCTGACAAATATAAATGATGTATTAAAAAAGAATAACAAGTCATGACTCAACAGTCTAGAGGTCTTCCCATGAGAAAAATTCATGAGCTTCAACACAGACCATAGCACATACCTTGGCTGCCCAAAGGCTGTGTGTCTGTGTGTGTGTATGTACACATGTATAAATGCTTTCACAGCATCATGGTACACCTGTTAATGCTGGCTTCCTTGCCTGTGTAATAAGCTGCCCAAGGACAGAAGCCTTATGTTTTCATCCTGTCTTCCCAGAATCTGATACAGTGCCTGGTACAGAGTAGAGGTCAATAAATATTCATCTCAGTTAACCATCTTGCTATCTATCAGGAAGTAAAAAATAATTACAATAGCTTATCTAAGTTTACATGGAACTTGTAACTGGAAAAGGAAATGAGGTCCAGCCACACTTCCAGAACACAGCCTCACGCACCCCTCAGATAGGTCCGACGACATGATTTGTCCCTGTCCTTGCCCTCCGCATCTGAGGACACAGCAATGACTCATCCCTATACACAGTGTGACTGTAGACAGATGCATCTGCACACAGCCAATGACTTCTCCTGCCCATTGTGCCTTCCCCATAGATAGTGAGGAATTTTCCAGCTAGGCCCATTTATGGAGAGAGCTCTTTCTGCTGCCCTTTGGGGTCAGGATATCTTTGTTCGAACTGAGTCATCTGCAGTTCATTCCTCCATGCTGTCCTGTTTAAAGGGCACGTCTCGATACAGGGCTTCACAGTTACCCGAGAGCACCACCCCACAGCCCAGTGATGGTTCATTCCTCATTTGCCCTGTTAAGTGTCTACCAGTTAATAGTAATTATTGCCATTAGCTGAGTGCTCAGTAACTTCAAGCCATCATGGTAAGTACTTATATTATTATCCCATCACATCCTTAGAACAATCCTTTAAGGCTGATATCATTATCCTCATTTTACAGATGAGAAAATGATAGACCCAAAAGGTTGATGCCACATGCCCGATTGAGTTTTGCTAACATTTTATTGACCAACATTTCTTCATTATATGTATTTCCCCAAGTCCATGATTTACTATATTAGTCCAGTCTCACACTGCTATTAAGAACTACCTGAGACTGGGTAATTTATAAGCAGAAGAGGTTTAACTGACTCTCAGTTCTGCAAGCTGTACAGGAAGCATGGCTGGGAAGCCTCAGGAAACTTACAATCATGGCAGAAGGCAAAGGGGAAGCAAGCATGCCTTCACATGGTGGAAGGAGAAAGAGAGAGCAAAAGGGGAAATGCTATACACTTTTAAACAATCAGATCTTGTGAGAACTCATTCATTATCACGAGAACAGCAAGGGGGAAGTCCACCCCCATGATTCAATCACCTCCCTCCAAGCCCCTCCTCCAACACATGGGGATTACAATTTGACAAGAGATTTGGGTGGGGACACAGAGCCAAACCATATCACTTACACACTCATTCATGTTATTCCTTTCACCTGTAGACATTCATTGAGGACCTGTGCTGGAACCACATGACCCCCACTCTACACACGAGGTTTATATTTAACCACAAAATGGTGACTCCAGAATTTAAAAATATGACCAATTATAAAGTCCAAACATTTTCTAATAATAGTAGCATGTAACTCATAGGACTATAATGAAAATGAAATGACTTAATACAAGAAAAGTGTCAAGAGAAGTACTGGTACACGATATGGCTTCAATAAATGTCAGTTTATAACACTGAATATAATAACAGCTATTGTCCAGCAACATATTTTTGCACAGTTTTGGGGAAGAAGGGACAGACACAGGTGGTCAGCAAGGGCCAAGTATAATGCTATGTTCTACTACAGCTCATCCCAGGAACACTTTGGGTCTTTGTTTTCTTATTTGCAAGATGAGGGAAGTGAATTTGGTCATCTCCAGGGACCAGTCTTAAAATGCTATGATTTGTCATTCCAGCAGTTGATCAGTCGATGAGCAACTTAAAGACTGAGCTTCTCAGACAATTCCCCCAGTTTGCTCTGCAGAGAATGCTGGCTTCTACTACAAAGCACTATGGAGGAGCCCCAAATGACTTTGCATTATGAAGGAAATCCTTTGTAAAGGAATGTTCCAGAGAACAGTTTGTTCATTTCAGAATACGGATATTTATCCAGTCCCCAAATATGGGATGGGGTATTAGTCTGTTCTCACACTGCTAATAAAGACATACCCGAGACTGGGTAATTTATAAATTATAATAAAAGACATACCCGAGACTGGGTAATTGCTAATAAAGACATACCCGAGACTGGGTAATTATAAAGGAAAGAGGTTTAATTGACTCATAGTTCAGGGTGGCTGGGGAGGCCTCAGGAAACTTACGATCATGATGGAAGGGGAAGCAAACATGTCCTTCTTCACATGGTGGCAGCAAGGAGAAACGCTGACCAAAAGGAGGGAAAGCCCCTTCTAAAACTATCAGATCTCGTGAGAACTCACTCACTGTCACCACTAACACAAGGACAACAGCATACGGGTAACTGCTCCCTTGATTCAATTACCTCCCACTGTGTCCCTCCCATGACACTGGCGATTACACGAACTACAATTCAAGGTGAGATTTGGGTGGGGCCACAGCAAAACCATATCAGATGGTGACAGAGAGAGGGAACGAAGCCCACTGTGGCTTTTTCCCACTACCCATCAATCCTGACTCCAACAGAGACTGGAAGCTGCTACATTCCCCAGCTGCAATTAATAAAACAAAACAGCAGGTGTGGATGTGGGAAGGCGTTATAATGGAGGGACAAGGCTGGGAGACAGAAACTGCCACTCTTGAGTAAGAGCACAGAGCTGGGGAGGGCAGTGCTGAAGACATACATCCTGCCAGGAACCTCAATGCCAAGGACAGAGAGACCCGCTGTCCAGATCACATTTCAACACAGGAGTGTTCACTTCTGTCTTTTTTTAATATAGTGGTAAAATTCCACGTCTGCTATAGCACAAACGGTGGCTTAAAACAACAGAAACATAACTCTCTCACAAGTTTGGAAGCCAGAAGTCCAAAATCAAGGTGCTGCAGGGCTGTGCTCCCTCCAGGGACTCCAGGGAAAACACATCTATTACTCGACTCTTGCAGCTTCTGATAAGTGCCAGCATTCCTTGACCTGTGGCTGCATGACTGCAGTCTCTACCCTCAGGGTCACACTGCCTTCTCCTATGTGTTCAATCTCCCTTTGCATACCTTTTTTTTTTTTTTTTAAGATGGAGTCTCGCTCTGTCGCACAGGCTGGAGCACAATGGCGCAATCTCGGCTCGCTGCAACCTCCGCCTCCTGGGTTCAAGCAGTTCTCCTACCTCAGCCTCCTGAGTAGCTGGGATTACAGGCATCCACCACCGCACCCGGCTAATTTTTGTATTTTTAGTAGAGATAGAATTTCACCATCTTGGCCAGGCTGGTCTCAAACTCCTGACGTTGTGATCCGCCCGCCTCGGCCTCCCCAAATGCTGAGATTACAGGCGAGAGCCATCAACCCGGCCTTGCCTCCCTCTTATAAGGAGACATGTGATTGCCTTTAGTACCCACCTGGACAATCCATGCTTCTCTCATCTCAGGATCCTTAACTTAACCACATCCACAAAGGGTCTTTTCCTATTTCCAAATCAGGGAACAGCTACAGGTTTCAGGAATTGGAGCCTGTTATCATTGGCCTACAATAGTTCTCATCTTAACTCATTTTTTAAAAAAACAATAAAAAAAAATTTAACCCTTTAAAACAGATAAATGAGAGTCAACACCCATCTCACCCTAGAATATCCAAGCTGGAAATAGCCTTAGAAATCAGTTAACCCCAGCCTCCTCCACCTGAAAAGGGTCTGGGATGGAGGCAATTCACCCCGGATTACCCAGAAGATGCAGCCTATCAAACAAAAGCTACTTTTATCAATGCTTTCTCCTAAGACATTTAAAAGAGCTCACTGGACCGGGCACGGTGGCTCACTCCTGTAATCCCAGCACTTTGGGAGGCCGAGGCGGGCAGATCATAAGGTCAGGAGATCGAGACCATCCTAGCTAACACGGTGAAACCCCGTCTCTATTAAAAATACAAAAAAAAAAAAAATTAGCTGGGCATGATGGCAGGCACCTGTAATCCCAGCTACTCGGGAGGCCAAGGCAGGAGAATGGCGTGAACCCGGGAGGCGGAGCTTGCAGTGAGCCGAGATCGCACTACTGTACTCCAGCCTGGGTGACAGAGCAAGACCCGGTCTCAAAAAAAAGAGTTTACTGAAAAGAAGGTCCTATTACCCTCCTCGCCCCTCTGTCCCCCCGCCAAAAAAATACACATAAACTTTTGGCACATGGACTGCAAAAAATGAGACACATCTTTACAAAGGGATATAATGTACATTTAAAAAGCAATTCTGGGTTAGCCCCGAAAAGTGGAAATAAGTGCAAAAGTTCTGGCCTGAATTCACTCCTGGACAATACGAACTCACATCTGTCCCATCGTGGCCAATGCGGGAGCCACAGAGGGCGTGTGATGAGAAGAGGCATCACATCAGGGCTGTTCTTTTCGAAGAAAAAGCTGACATCGTGGTGTAGAGCCAAGTGGGCCCGTCACGGAGACTGGGAAGGAAGCTACTTCCACTGTCTACTTCAGCGGTTCCCAAACTTTAGGAACATCACTGTCACCTGGAGAGCTTTGTTCAAACAGATTGCTGCCCTCCCCTCAACACCTCCTCCCCTAGAGTTTCGGATTATAGAGATCGAGGGTGGGATTGGATAATTTGGATTTCCAACAAGTTCCCAGGTGATGCATACTGCAGGGCTGAGAAGCACAGTTTGAAAGCCATTGTCCTATGGAAGACTTAGCCCAGGGAGCAGAAGAACTAGAATAAAAGAGATGATATCAGAGAGTATTACAGAAATTGCTAAGATTTGGGCAGATGAGAAGAAATGAGATGGCGGAAGGGGACAAAGGTGTATTCACCAGAAGAGACGCAGTGTAAAGGAAGAATTCTCAGGAGGGGAGAAGATGAGCTCTGCACTGAAGATGCTAAGTTTAAAGGTGCCAGTAGGACAGATGGGGTAATTCACATACCAAGGGAGTAAGTTGATCCATGAGAAGAAGCCACAGAACCTGCAGGTGACCTGCCTTTGAAGGGCAGGAAGAGAGACGCTGACACAGGTGATTGGATGGGAGTTCTTAAAGAATCCAGGGCATCCTGAGAGAGTCCTCTTCAAGGAAGGCAGACAGAAAGGCTTCTAAACAAGGAAGGAGATGGTCAATGGCATGAAGTGCCACTGCAGAGTTCAGAAAAGATGAGGATAGAAGAAAGGTGCTTAGATCTGACAACTAGGTCATCAACAGCACACAGCAGCAGCTTGTGGGAAGGAAGCCAGGTTTGGGTGGCAAAGCTAAGAAAGTGAAAACTTTAGCCACAGGCTCTTCTTTGAAGCCTAGTGATGAAGGAGGAGTGAGAAGTAAGCGACGTTGAGAAAGACAACTCTGAGGGTACCTTCCATGCCAGCACCCAGCACCCCTGTGGTTTCCCCAAAGGAACACACTGAAGTCTAAAGTCCCAGTCCCTAACGTTGTGCCCAACACCAATGTTAGCTTCAGTAAAGAATTACTAAATGAATGCATGCATAAACGGATGAATGAGAAAACATAATAATGCTACAAGAAGAGAAGGAAAAAAGTTCTTTGTGCATAAATTTGGTGTATAGCATTCCCTAGCTTTACTCAGCCACCACAGCCTCCTTGCTAATCAAGGTCCGTGTACTTGCTATTCCCTCTCGCTGGAATGTTCTTCCTCAATTATCTCAGAGGCTCGCTTTCTCACTTCATTCAGTGCTAGATCAAATGCTACTTTCTCAGAGATGCTTTGTGAAGTCTCTTTTTCTTTTTTTTTTTTTTTTTTTTTTGAGAGAGTCTTGCTCTGTTGCCCAGGCTGGAGTGCAGTGGCGTGATCTCGGCTCACTGCAACCAACTCCTCCCACGTTCAACCGATTCTCCTGCCTCAGCCTCCCTAGTAGCTGGGATTACAGGCACGTGCCACCGTGCCTGGCTAATTTTTGTATTTTTAATAGAGACGGGGTTTCGCCATGTTGTCCAGGCTGGTCTCGAACTCCTGACCTCAAGTGATCCGCCCACCTCAGTCTCCCAAAGGGCTGGGATTACAGGTGTGAGCCACCGCACCCGGTCTTGTAGTCTCTTTTTCTAAAACAGCATCATCCCACCCTTCACGCATGGCCCAGAGAGCCTCTGACCCCACTACCATTAAACTGCCATATTTCCCCTTCTCACCACTCCATGCCACCTGACGTATTTCATACCTATTTGTTTGTTTACTATAAGATCCACTGGGACAGGGCTTTGCTTCGCTCATTCCTGTATCCCCGGTGCTTAGTACAGTTCCTGGCACACAGTAGGTGCTCAATAAATATTTATTAAGTGAATGAATCCACTATATTACCTCTCAAAAATTCTCCCAGCCTTAATAGTTCCTTTAATGGTTCCTGGAGGAATGTGCTTGAACACTGGAAGGCATGGGGACTACTAAAACCCCTCCTCCTCCCTGCACCTGCACTGCAATCAGATGAAAACTGATGACTGGCAGAAAAATCCAGCCACCATCTGGCTGTTCAAGGACCCCTCCTGGGTGCTAACAGCATTGCCATTCAAGATAATGAAGATTAAAACCAACAGTGATCCAGGGGGACAGGTCCTCAGGAGGCAGCCCGGGTTGGAGTTAACCCATTCTGAGCCAAGGAGCTCCCAGTCATCCTAAGAAGAAACCACCATTCCCTACAAGGGTGAAGGCAGGAGGCAGACCAGGCCCCTGCTTGAGAGATTATAGATGACTTGTCCAAGGAAAGGATGAGATGGAAGCAAAAGTGCTTTGGCAAGATAATGTCTGTGGGAAGATGAGGAATTCTCTCACAATGACAGATGTAACATACCATGTGCCCACCAGTCAACAAGGTCCTTTGGGCCGGGTGCCAACCATGCTCTCTGCTCATTTATTAAAGCAACCGTGTGTGCTCCCACCGTGACACCCAAGGCCTGAGACCCATGGCCACTCTGTCTTCAAGAGACACTCCATCTGTAAAATTTACAGAGAGACACTGTCCAGCTAAATCAAATTCCATAAGCAAATGCTGACCACATTTGATTATAACATAAAACTTAGGGGAGCTCTACAGTGAAGAAGAAACCAACACCATGCAGATGCCGAGGCAAAGGGAGCTGGCTGCTGTCGAGTTCTTCCTTCCTTCCAGCTCACAGGTGAAGGAATTGTCAGGGACACATTTCCTCCACGAGAGGCAGGAGGAAATGGTTCAAAGCTGACTCTTGTGCCAGATGGCCTGCCTTTGAACTCCAGCTCTGCTACTTATCAGCTGTGTGACCTTGGACAATTTATTGAACATTTCCCTGCCTCAGTTTCCTCAAGGGTGAAATGAGGATGCAACAAGTATCTAACTCCTACGGTTACTGTGAGAATTAAACACACCTCAAGCAAAGCTGATACAAGCAAGCTTATAGAGACTGGAAATGATGACAATGGCGGTGGTGGTTGTTCTCTTGGCCCACTCAGGCTACTTTAACTGAATACCATAGACTGGGTGGCTTATAAACAATTTCTCACAATTCTGGAGGCTGAGAAGCTTAAGATCAGGAAGCAGCAGATTCAGTGTCTGGTGAGGGCACCCTTGCTGCTTCACAGACAGCAGTCTTCTTGCTGTGCCCTCACGTAGAAGAAGAGGTGAGGGAGCTCTCTGAGGTCTCTTTATATAAAAGCATTAATCTCATTCATGAGGGCTCTGCCTTCATGACCTAAGTGTCACCTAAAGGCCTAAACCATCACCTTGAAAGTTAGGTTTCCTATGGATTTTGCAGGGGCACAAACATTTGGTCCACAGCAATGTAGACGACAATGGTGGTGATGACGATGATACTGCTCACATATTAGCAGATATTATTTTTTTCTTTTTTCTTTTTTTTTTTTTTTGAGACGGAGTCTCGCTCTGTCGCCTAGCCTGGAGTGCAGTGGCACGATCTCGGTTCCTGGCCTCAGGTGATCCACCCGCCTCTGCCTCCCAAAGTGCTGGGATTACAGGCATGAGCCACTGCGACCGGCTCATTAGCAGAGATTCTAAGGGTTCACAGGCAAAGTTGCGACACAAAAAAAGGAGTGTCAAGGAAAGAATTCGTAAAAAGTCCCTTCTGATCTTGCATGTGCGTGCATACATGCACCCCCCCTCTGCTTTGCCTTCCTGTTCCTCCAGAACACTCTGAAGACAGGAAGCCAGGGCCTGGAGAGCTGGAAGATGTCAGGTGAGAGGGCGGGGAGCCCTGCCGTGAGGACGGAGTGGGAGGCTCATCGGAAGCTGCCTCTTCTCCTCTTGCCCTAGGACCGATGCCTGCCCAGGTCCCTAAGTGGCCCCTGGGGCCAGAGGAGCACTCTCAAGCCACTCACAGTGGCTTCCCAAAACCAGCGATTGGATTGGAAAAGTATTCCTAAGTTTTTAAAAAAAGATAACTGGACAAGAACTTGCAGTTTGCAAACTCAGACATAGACATACCACTAGCAAACAGTGGAAGCTACAGGGTCAGGTCCTAACACAACACACACACATGCATGTACACACACACACACACACACACACACACACACACATACACATACACAGACTTGAGCCTCCAAAGAGGATAACGTTCAAGCTGCTTGGCCTAGCACACAAAGCCCCTCCCAGCCTGGCCCAGGCGTAATCCCGAGGCAACCACTCCACCTTTCCAAGTCGTAAGCTTCTGGACATGGGTAGTAACAGCCCTAGAATAATGCTCTCTTTCACACCTCAAACGTTTCTCACCTTTCTGTTCCTGCAGTTCCCACTGGCTGCAAAGCCCTCCCTTCTTCCTTTCACCCAGCTAACACCAACTCAGCTTTCAAGATTCAGGAATCAAACATCTCCCTGGAAGCCTCTAGTCAGTGGCCCCTTTCCTGGGCTCCCATAATACCGTGCTTTTCTTACTGGAGTACCTTCAGCATGAGTCCTGGCACCTATCAGTCATAATGACCAGATTCCTAGGAAGCTCAAACATGCAGAGCTCACTTAGCTCGAGCTCCAGAACCAGAAGACAGCACACAGCCATCTTCCTCTCTCATGTATGGAGTCCCATTCTCATCGGTGAAAAGTCCCAGACAGCAAAGCCCAAGCCCGAGGTACCCTGTGAGCTCTGTCTAAAGAACAAGACAGATCAGGAACAGAACTGAGAGGGAATGGAGGTACAGAGGTCCAAAACACAACTGGAGGGCCCATGGGACAAACTCGAGCCTTAACACACTGTCAGTGTTAAGGGACAGTGCTGTCAGTGCTGTCAGTGACCAAGGGAGCCTGGACCCAGAGCCCCCAGGCTTCACGCAAGCTGTGGCTTGGACCCTCCAATACAGGCCTCAACAGCATGGAAGTCAGGAAGGGTCGATTAAGATGCGGCAACCCCAGAGGGCTCGGAATCAGCTGACTGTACCCACTGTGCATAGGCTGTTTAAGCTGCAGCCCCAGACTTGCTACTGGCTGGGGCTCCCAGCTGCCAGCAAAAAGATATCTTCCCTGGGAACCGGTCCAGCTCAGCAGGCAAGAGAGCACAGAGCCTGACACTGACTCTGGCACATGCTGTGTGGTCTGGCACATGCAGTTAACTGGAACTCTGGACTGAGGCCCAGGATCTATGTCCAGTATACAGTAAGCACTCAATAAGTGCTAAATGTTATTAGACGACTGTTGTTGGACTGGGCCAGACATGGCCTGGCAGGCACTACGGGCCCATCTGGTCTGAGGTGTGGTGACTGCCCTCAGGTGGGTAAACACAGGCCACAGTGATTCAGTAAGTCTCAGAGGCACCTGTGCCTTCATCCTTCGGGAGAACTGCAGGATGCCCCAGTGCAGGGGTGGCAGTCAACTCCAGAACCCCAAGAGCACTGTGCTCACCAAGCAGATGATGTCTCAGCCTGTAGAGGTAGCTGACTTTTATTTATGTTTACCTTTTATTACATTATCTCCTCAATTAGATTTGAAACTAATGTAATACTGAAACATCTGAATGGCGGATTACCAATTATAAAGTCTAATCAAACCAGTGACCCTCGGTTACAGGCTTAACTGTGCCTCCCCTAAAATGCATATGTTAAAGTTCTAACCATCAGTACCTAAGAATATGATTGTATTTGAAGACAGGATCTTTAAAGAAGTTATTAGGGTAAGATGGGAATGTATGAGTGGGCCCTAATCCAGAATGACCAGTGTCCTTATAAGAAGAGGAGATAAGGATACAACACAGAGGGGAAACCATATGAAGGCACAGGAAGACAGCCTTCCACAAGCCAAGGAGAGAGGCCCTGGAAGAAGCCAACCTTGCTAACAACTTCATCTTGGACTTCTAGCCTGCAGAACTGTGATAGAATATATTTTTATCATTTAAGCCACCCAGTCTGTGGTACCTTGTTACGATAGGGCTAGCAAACTAACACACTAGGTGAGGTCAGTCTTTGTGCACAATTATTGTCATTTTTATTTATTTATTTTTATTTTTGTTTTTGCAGATGGAGCTTCACTCTTGTTGCCCAGGCTGGAGTGCAATGGCGTGATCTCAGCTCACTGCAACCTCTGCCTCCTGGGTTCAAACGATTCTCCTGCCTCAGCCTCCCAAGTAGCTGGGGTTACAGGCATGCGCCACCACGCCTGGCTAATTTTTTGTATTTAGTAGAGACGAGGTTTCACTATGTTGGTCCGGCTGGTCTCGAACTCCTGACCTCAGGTTATCCACCCATCTCAGCCTCCCAAAGTACTGGGATTACGTGCAATGAGCCACCATGCCCAGCTCAATTATTGTCATTTTAGCAGAACACTGGAATTCGGGGAAGCTGAATAACTTACTGGAGCCACTCAGCCACCGAGTGGGAAAGCTGGGATTCAAGGTAATAAAGCCTGACTCCTTCTATCACCAAGAATATAATACTTACTCAACTAATATTTGTTTAGCATCTATTATGTGATAAGGTCTTTTTAAGGGCTAAGGATACTACAGCAGCCAAAACGGACAAAATTTCTTCTCTAGTAGAGCTTTCAGACAAATAGGGAGCAAAAATAATCATAATCAAGAAAATATAAAATATGTACCTGTCAGGCCTCTGAGCCCAAGCTAAGCCATCATATCCCCTGTGACCTGCACGTATACATCCAAATGGCCTGAAGTAACTGAAGAATCACAAAAGAAGTGAAAATGGCAGGTTCCTGCCTTAACTGATGACATTACCTTGTGAAACTCCTTCTCCTGGCTCATCCTGGCTCAAAAGCTCCCCCAGTGAGCACCTTGTGTCCCCCACCCCTGCCAGCTAGAGAACAACCCCCTTTGATTGTAATTTTCCACTACCTACCCAAATCCTATAAAACAGCCCCACCCCATCTCCCTTCGCTGACTCTCTTTTCGGACTCAGCCCGCCTGCACCCAGGTGATTAAAAAGCTTTATTGCTCACGCAAAGCCTGTTTGGTGGTCTCTTCACACGGACGCGAGTGAAAGTACCTTCGGCAATAACTGGAGGGTGGTAGGAATATGAGCAAGTTTTCTTTATCATCCCATTCTATAGTTTTTACTATAAACATTTAAGATGAACAAAATTTTCTTTTAAAAAAGCCAAATGGTAAAAGTGAATTTTCAAGAGAGCACTGCTCACTCCATTCACTGGTCTTTAAGTTTATGAAAAAAATCAGGCAGAGGCAAGTCATGAGCCCCAAGGAAAAGTTTCTATCATGTTAATATGCCTCAGCGACAAAGCTACAGCTTTAGAAATGATACAGTTAGCATTTCCCATGCAGGATAATTTTTGCTCTAAAGTTTGAGGCCAAAGCTATTTCCAAAGAATAACCATGTTCAGAGAAATGGATTTTGTTTCTCTTCACCCAGATGAGAATTCACACAATGGCTAGCACTCTCCACCAGGGAAAATTCTTGCAAAACTGGATGGAGCTGAATTTCACTTTATTGCTGGTGCTTATGCAGAAATTATTATTACATGTTCATAAGGGCTTTATGGTGGTATAATATTTTACTGCTAGAGAAGCATTCACACAATATGTGGCATTTTTAAGTGTCCTGTCATTTACAATTCTACACTTTGGAGTCTGTAAAGGCAGGCAAGTCTTTGCAAACCTCCTGTGATTTTCAACTCCCTGGACAGCTTGGCACTGTCTCAGCAGGGATTAACTGCACTGCTGCCTGCAATAGAGGCTGCAAGGACTTCCTAGTTCTATAACCCTCCAAGAGTGTGAGGTGCTTTCACAGTCATGTTAATTAATGCATCGGATGGCATTCAGGATAAAAACCGAAATTCAGCAGCATTCCCCAGGCTGGTGGATCTGAGCTGCCTAACAGAGACAGGTGAGAAATGACATTTGAGAGCCTGGCAATATCCTCAAGCACTCACTTATTCATGCTAAAGACTTGCTGGCACTAACTGCGGCCTATTTGGAAAGTCGTTATAACGAAGAGCTAAGTTAGAAGCCAGGTTCTCCAGCTCACCTGGCATGGATAAATGTCCAAATTCCAAGCTTCCTTTTATCATCTTTAAAATAGGGGAAATTGAGGCATACGGTTAAAGCAGTCCTGAAATAAAATCGAGCATGTGAGGTCTGGGTCTGGAACCTAACACACATTAGGCGTTAACTACCAGAATGAGCAAAGTCACTGCTAATCAGGAAAAAGATCCAGATGAAGCCAGTAGTTATAGCAATCACTCCATTCCTCTTCCTCCCAACTGTATTAGCTCCGGTTTAGCTTGACTTTACAAAGTCAGAAACAGCTCTGAACCCATAAATGGGATTCTGTAAAGCTCCAGATTTTGCATTCAAAATTCTGTGTGCATACATGTACACAAACAAGCACTTCTGGGGAAGAGGCCACATTTCAAGAGACTGTCAAAGGGATCCGTGACCAGGAAAGGTTGACAGTGACTAGAGTGCAGTCCAGTTCAGCCTGCTTCCTACAGAGCTGGTGTGATGGAAAGGAAAGACAGTGGAGGCAGATGGTTCCAAAGTTTAAATTCTGGCTCTGGCCCCCATTCACTAGTTGATCCTAGGGGAGCTCTCTACCTCTCTGAGCATGGTAGCTCCTATGTAATATGGGAAAATGGAAGCAAGACCACCAGTTGCAGAGTTATTAGGAGGATTAAATACAGTAACAAATGCCTGGCACACAATGGTGTCAACTGTGTTAGTCTCCCCATTCACAGTCCCTGCCAGAAAACTGGAAGGTTCCCTCAGGCCAGCAGGACCAAGGACCAGCCTTGTCATATTTTTTTGTCCATTTGCTTCCTGCACACCAAGAACCCTGCAACTTCTACAACTGCTGTACCAGACCAGGCCCGATCTCACTTATCTAGGTTTGTGACCCATTTAAGGTTCAATGTTCCCTCTGTTCCCACCAAGTTCCACACCCAGGCATCTCAGCTGCATTCCATGGCTTCGAGTGGCAGCCCAAGGTAGAAAAAGAATGAGCTTCAGCAACAAGCCACCTGGGTTCAAGCCTCAGTCCTCTCATTTCCTAGCTGGTGACCTAGACCAGTAACTTAACCCTTCTGTGATTCAGATTTTTTATCTGTAAAATAGGGATGGCCATCATTATCTACCTTACTGGAAAAAAAAAAAAAGAATTAATCCATGTAAAGTGTGAGGCCAAGACCTGGAACACTGTAAGTACCAACTACCATTATGACCTGATCACAAGAAACAGAGACTCAATAAGCCAGTTCAGATAATAGCAGTTTACCATGAACATACTGAGAACGAAAAGGGAGATGGGTCGTGCATGAATCCCAGAATAGTAACTGTAGTACAACCAAGCAATATAGAAGAATGTGGCTAGAACCCAGGCAGCACACGGGACCTCCATGTGGGAGAGTGAGCTTCGCCTCCAGCTAACTCTATAAGATCTGGCCCTGCTTTCTCCAGCCTCTTGTCCCACTGCTACATCCATGATTGTGATTGAAATGCCAAAGGCACAGGGATTTTGCAATACTTTTAATTTATGGGCAGTGAAATTTAATTTTCACATGCCACTCCATATATATATATATGGAGTAGAGAGTATTACATATACACACACACACACACACACACACCTATACATACATACATATGTGTACATATGGATACGAACAGGATATATACACACACACATATATAGTATACATATATGTGTTTATATATACATGTGTGTATGTATATATATCCTGTCCTGTCTCCCCCTGCAACATTACGAATTTTTTAACAACAAACACTTTCATGCATGCCCTAACATCTTCAAGAAAGGCTAATTCAAGTGGAGAGAGACCAGGACCAAAAGGATTGTGAGAGACAAACGTAACCATTGAAAACAGAGAAAAAGCAAGCAGCCTAAGTGAAAAGCATTTGTAAACTGTGAAAACCCTTGTGAGAGTCAGCTACAT
This sequence comes from Homo sapiens, assembly GCF_000001405.40. Taxonomy (NCBI): domain Eukaryota; kingdom Metazoa; phylum Chordata; class Mammalia; order Primates; family Hominidae; genus Homo; species Homo sapiens. Next base: position 33,837,609 of record NC_000022.11, read on the forward strand.
AGATGACTATGATCATCTGAGTCCATGAGGCATCTTCAGGATGCCTCGGAAGAAGAGCTGACCCAGGTGAGTGTGTTCGTATCAAACAGCTGCAGGTAGGGCTGAAGCCTATGGCCAGAGCCGGCTCTCAATGAGAACTTCAAGAGGCTCTGCCCCAAATGAGCCTCAGGTGTGCTAAGGTGGTGCCTTCAGCCCCAGGCCAGCAAGATATCTTCCACTTATCCCAGTACACTGAACAAACATTATCATTTTCCACAAAGTTTCAGGGTGGGAAAGTTGAGGATATTCTACTTTAGAACACGGGCCAGCAAAATTTTTATGTGTAAGGTGAGATAGTAAATCACGTAAGCTCTGCATGCCATACTTTCTCTCTGGCAACTCGCAATCACTGTAGTAGGAAAGCAACCACAGATAAGAGGAAACAGGCATGGTTGTGTGCCAAGAAAACTTAATTTATGGACAGTGAAATTTAATTTTCACGTGCTACAGAACAGTACTCTTGTTTTGATTTTTTTGGACACTTTAAACATGTAAAAGCCATTCTTAGCTCATGGGCTAAAGGAAGACAGACTGGCCCACAGAATGCAGACTCTTGCTCTCAATCATTACCCCTACACAATCTCTAGTAACATGGAACTTCAAGCTTCTGACATTCTATGTGGGGACTATGGCTGCTGAAATCTCGTCTATTCAATCTTCAGTGACTCATACAGCCACTAGGATCTCAAAAAATGTGTTTTAAAAAATTGGACAGGTGTAGTGGCTCATGCCTGTATTCCCAGCACTTTGGGAGGCCAAGATGGGAAGATTCCTTTAGGCCAAGAGTTTGAGACCAGCCTGAGCAACAGGGCAAGACCCCATCTCTACAAAAAGTTTAAAGATTAGCTGGATGTTGTTGAGCATGCCTGCAGTCCCAGCTACTTGGGAGGCTGAGGCAGGAGGATCACTTGAGCCCAAGAGTTTGAGGCTGCAGTGTGAGCTATGATTGTGCCACTGCACTCCACCCTGTCCCCAGCAAAATAAATAAATAAATAAATAATTGTCCTTTAGCGATTTCTATCCTAATAAAACATCTTTGGCAGTAGATCACCACTGCGTTCTGGAACAGTCCGTCCTACTGGTGGGGAGTTCCAGAGGTTAAAAGTTCTTCCTGAGATGATGTTCATCTCCCTCACTCCCCCAAAGGCTCCTGGGTCTCCCTGATTGTGTCTGCAGAATTAATCCAATCCATCTTACCCGTGACGGCTCTCCACGTTTTTTGTTTATATCAGGGAGGAAAAAAATGAAAGGAATGAACTACTCCCATAATAGAAAAACCTTTGCCAGGAGAGGAAGTGAATGTAGAATTTCTGATAGAAACCAATGCTTTTACCTAAACAGTGGCTTCAGAAATAGCCCAGTCCATAGACCCACCAAAAAGTCAAGAAATAATTTAGGATATTAGTTCATTTTTGCATCGCTAGAAAGAAATTCCTGAGGCTGAGTAACTTATAAAGAAAAGAGGTTTAACTGGCTCATGGTTCTGCAGGCTTGTACAAGAAGCATAGCACCCACATCTTCTGCACTTCTGGAGAGGGCCTCAGGAAACTTACAATCATGGTGGGAGGTAAAAGAGGAGCAGACACGTCACATGACAAAAGTGGGAGCAAGAAAGAGGGAGGAGGTCTCAGATTCTTTTAAACAACCAGATTTCTCATGAGTAAGAACTGTTTCATCACCAAGGGGTCAGTGCTAACCCATTCATGAGGAATCAGTCCCCATGATCTAATTACCTTCCACCAGCCCCATCTCCAACACTGTGGATTTCACTGCAACATGAGATTTGGAGGAGACAAACATCCAAACCATATCAGCGAGAAAAAAGCATGTTTTCCTCAACCCCTGGCAGAGAAGATCCCCATTTACACATATGTTGGAACAAACAAATAAATAACTGAACAAATAAGTGACCATATGTTAGCATGCCAATAGAGAACATTCTCATTCTACCGCAGCCTGTATAGATCACAAAAACAGAACAACTAGTGAGAATAAGATTTAGTAGCCTGAACAGTTAAAATATGAATGCTATGGGGACCAATTGATTCTTTGCTAAAATTCTTAATTTCCCTAGAGACAGACTGACTGCCTTCAAATCACACGTTTACATGAAATAAAAAAATAAGAAAAGCGATTATTAACTACCTACCAGGTATGAGGCACTTTGACTTGCGTCACCTCATCTAACTTTCATGCATGCCTACTACAATGAACTATGCCCCTCATTGTTCCAGAGAAGATCACCTGGACCCAGGAAACGTGGGGGCTCCAGGCTTCAAACCCAGATGCATTCAACCCTAAAGCCCAGGCACCTTCTGCTGTAGGAGACATAAAACCCTGCTGATCCCATTTACTTATGAAACGATCTATGGGCCAGATCATTAGAGAAAATGCCTCTAAAATGCCTCCGAATTGAAGGTGGTAAGAAACTATGTAAACCAACACAGGAAAATGAATACGCAGGAAATGCACACCCATACTAACTAGGTTTAGGATTTTGCCCTACTTCATATTCAATTATAAAACTATTTGATTTAATAATATATGCAAAGCAGCACTGCACCAAATCGGCACCCCCTCAAGAAAATGCACATCCCCTCACTGTAAAATCTAGGAAAAATAATAGAATCCATGCATAAAAAGGGACCTAGTTTTTAAAAGACAAAAATGGTCATAAAAATGAATAAGAAATCCTGTTGCAGTTTTACTTCCTGTCTTTAAAAACTTTTTATACATACATTCTTTTAAAACTATTTTTGAAGACCAACTCACTTTGGCAAAATACTGAGAGTAATATAGTTTAATCTCTATTAGCTTGGAGCTGTGAAACTACATTGTTGATTTATTTCTCACACAGTCAAAATTTGGTGTGAAAGGTTCTAGCATCTTTTCTTGCAAATATCTAGTATTTTACCACTTTTAAAGTACTATTGGATCTATTGCCCTCCTTCATCTTTACAGCAACCCTAGATATAAGGTAAGTACAGACAGTCCCCGATTTAGGATAATTCGACTTAGATTTTTCAGCTTTTTTTTTTTCTGGGAAAGGGTCTCGCTCAGTCACCCAGGCTGGAGCACAGTGGCGTGATCACGGCTCACTGCAGCCTAAACTCCCCAGGCACATGCTACCATGACCATCTAATTTTTCTAGTTTTTATACAGACAAGGTTTCGTCACGTTGCCCAGGCTGGTCTCGAACTCCTGGGCTCAAGTGATCCACCCGCCTCAGCCTCCCAAAGTGCTGGGATTACAGGCGTGAGCCACTGCACCTGGATGACTTTCCAGCTTTATGATGATGCAAAAGCAATATGCATTCAATAGAAACTATACTTGAGTACCCATATAACCATTCTGTTTTTCATTTTCAGTACAGTATTTAATATACCTAGGCTTAGGTTGCATGATTTTGCCCAAATACAGGCCAATGAAAGTGAGCATGTTTAAGGCAGGCTAAGCTAAACTATGCTGTAATGTAGGTTAAATGTATTAAACGCAAATTTTGAACTTGATATTTTCAACTTACGATGGGTTTAGCAGGATGCAATCTATGCTAAGCCAAGGTGCGTCTGTTCTGTTACTCTCATTTTTTTTTCCTCTTACAAATGTACAAAAAATGTTTCAGAGTTTTTGAGGGAGCTTTCCAATGAAAGTGACAGAAAATCCAACTCAAACTAATGCAGGCAAAATAAAGGACTGAATAGTTCACAATCTGTAAGGTCCAGAGGTGAATCTACCCTGTGGCAAGGTTTGATCTGGGTCCAGGAGATGGCCTGGTCCCTCTCCACCTCAGCTCTGCTCTCATCCACACGGACTTCATACTCAGATGCCATGCAGTAGCAAGACAGCTACTAGGTTGGATGTAGCTACAATATCCGCAGCTCCAACCTCTGAGTTCAAGGCCAGTGGGAAAGAACACACATACCTCTCAACAGCCCCAACAAAAGCCTCATCACATCTTGTGGGCTCCAACTAGGTCATGAAACCACCTCTAAGCCAATTACTATAAGCCAGTATTAGGAATAATCTGAGTCCTATGTCTCCCCCTGAAGCCCTGCACAATATCATCTCCACCAAAGTCCATGGGCTAAAGGGTGGGTGTGAGTGTGGGTCTCCCTGGGAAAACTAAGCAGGGTGAATAAATACAAAGTCAGAAAGCCAAGAGATCCTCAGCACAGGCTATGTGACTTGCCCTGAGTCACACTGCTACTAAGAGACAAAATCAGGACTCATGCACAAATCTCCTGGGACCGAGTACTCCAAAAATAGTGGCAAATTATTTTAAAGCACACGGGTGAATCACAAAAAGTCCTCCAAACTGAACCTCTTGGTCACAAATAACAGTCTAAAATATTTAACAAACTGCCAACAGGACTTCAAAGAAAGCCACTTACAAAATAGAAAGTTTGTAACATTAAACACAGTTACTGTTATCGAAATCGAAATCCCTTTATAGTTCTAAATGGTTCCTTACCATCTAGAAAGTCAGAACACTGTACTCAAAAGTAAAATCGAAAAGCTTTTTGATCTATTTTTGTCTCTACACGGACGTAAAGCACCGAATCCTATTTATTAAGTGCCTTCGACGCACGCTGTTGCTCTGGCGATTCGCAACTCGAAAATGACACTTACTATTCAGCTAGAGATTAGAATCTCAAGCAGTAGGGCATTTTTTAATAAAAAATTAAATTAAAAATAGATTTGCCATTGTCTGCTTAATAAAACTAGTAGCTCTGCTGGCTTAGAGGGGAAATAACATATTTCTTCGGATTTTTATATATTCATCTGAGCAGTGCTAAAAAATAAAACAAAGTTACTAATATTCATATCTTGAGCAATTGTACATTGCTTCTAACTATACATTCAATCTCTCTGGCACATCCACTGTGGCCCTGAGCAGCCAGTACAGGCTCTTCTACCAAAACGAAGCAAGCCACTCCAAAACCTGACGCGTGCAGGTGTCACGAAACACCAGGTGCAGCTTGACAGATGTGAGCCAAATAAGGAAACATTCAGCCCAGCACTGCCCAACAGTCATGATGTATATTTTCTACATCTGTGCTCTAAAATATGGTGGCCACTAGCTGCAGGTGGCTATTGAGACTAAGGAACTGTATTTTTAATTTTATTTCATTTCAACTCATTTAAAGTAGCCACATGCCGCTAATGGCTACTGATCTAGAGGGCAGCTGGGATGTTACTCTTGAGAATGTCTCCAGCATTTTACCTGTTGCTCTCTCTCACTCACATTTCCCATTCTAGCACAAACAAAACAAAACAAAACAAAACAAAACAAAACAAAACAAAACAAAAAAACCACAACACCTACAGTTCTCCAAACAGGGCATCTGTTTTGTTCCTCTGGGGGGGTCCTGTCTATGTTGTTCACGTGGCCCTGGATTTCCATACTCCTAGCCTTCCTGGAAGACATCCTTTTCATCCTCACAACCCAACCCAGGCTTTATCTCTTCTGTGAAGCTGTCCTTGATTTTCCGTTCTATCTTCCCTGCTTGTGAATGGGTCAGCTCTCCTTCCCCACCGCCCTGTGCGTGTGAACATCTTTGTTCAGTATACTGCAGTGGGTCGGGAGTATGTCCCTTCCAGACTGGAAGGCAGAGAGGGTGGCTGTAAGGATTGGCACTTTGGGCCAGGCACAGTGGCTCATGCCTGTAATCCCAGCACTTTGGGAGGCTGAGGCAGGAGAATCGCCCGACCCCAGGAGACAGAGTTTGCAGTGAGACGAGATTGCACCACTGCACTCTAGCCTGAGGGATAGAGCAAGACTCCCTCTCAAAAAAATAAATAAATAAATAAATAAATAAATAAAAATAAAAAATTAAAGAGGTCTCAACAGAGGTAGACAGGGAAAGAGTAGCGGATGCAGGAAGATCCAAAATGCATATGGGGGTTTATTCAAACCGCACTCAAACCCTCTAGCAGTCCCACCACCATCCTCTCCAGAGGTCCCACCCCTGCCCCAAGCCCTCCCTGTACCCACAACCTGGCCAAACCTCTACTCAAATGTTACTGATGAAAACAAGTCTTATCCTGCAGGTTTGAGTGCAGTAAAAGAAGTTTAAAGGCCACTGGTCCAAAATGGCCGTAAGAGAATATATGTGCAACTCTGTTCCCACAGTCTGTTCCCGGCACCCTTCCTCCCACTTCTAGTTTACTCATCTCCTTTCTTTCCTAAGAGGCCAAGGCGGGCGGATCACCTGAAGTCAGCAGTTCGAGACCAGGCTGCCCAACACATTAAAACTCCGTCTCTACTAAAAATACAAAAAACTAGCTGGGCATGGTGGTGGGAACCTATAATCCCAGCTAGTTGGGAGGCTGAGGCAGGAGAATCGCTTGAACCCGGGAGGCGGAGGTTGCAGTGAGCCGAGATGGTGCCACTGCACTCCAGCCTGGGTGACAAAAGTGAAACTCCGTCTCAAAAAAAAAAAAAAAAGACAAGAAAAAACCTCCAATTTACAGACAAGACTTGCAACCCTAGATTCTGTGTTCCACAGTGTCCCTAACCCTGAAAGACAGGATACCTCTTGAGACCGTCCAAGGTTTCTTGGTTTTATTGAGGGCAAATAAAGATGAGAGCAGGTGAAACAAGCATTAAAAATGATTAAGTGTTCAACATACAGGCTTTCTAGCCCAGGAAGAGTCCCAATGAGACTGTTTGTTTCCCAAATTCAATGTATTCCTCCTGCTATAATGCTCCCTGGCACAGGGAGTTTAGTAAAGAGCAAGCTGGGAGCTGGGAGCATGCAGTAAGTGCATCTCCAATGGGGCTCTCCTTTCGGTGCTTTGAACACAGGAAGTGATTTCAATTTCAGCACAGCTTCCACTTAGGACGATCAGGCAGCACTGGAAGCTGGAATGCAGGTGACCTATCTTCCTTGGGGCCCCTGTGCAAGAGGTCTGAAGGGTAATGACTGGGGACCGGCATGACTGAAGAGCATAAAAACAGCTGCCATGGGGTCTGGGGATTGGCGACTTGCCTACCGTGCGAACTTGGGTATATCACCTCCCCTCTGTGTGCTTTGGTTTCCTTGTTTATAAAATAAGAGTGTGGTTTCCAAACTTTTTTTTTTTTTTTGAGACGGAGTTTGGCTCTTGTTGCCCAGGCTGGAATGCAATGGCACAATCTCGGCTCACTGCAACCTCCGCCTCCCGGGCTCAAGAGATTCTCCTGCCTCAGCCTCCTGAGTGGCTGAGATTACAGGCACGCACCACCATGCCTGGCTAATGTTGTATTTTTAATAGAGATGGGGTTTCTCCATGTTGGTTAGGCTGGTCTTGAACTCCTGACCTCGTGAGCCACCCGCCTCGGCCTCCCAAAGTGCTGGGATTACAGACGTGAGCTACCGCGCCTGGCCTCAAACTTTTCTTTCTATAAATAACAAGCCCCCTTTTTGTCCCCAATAAAATCTTCCGGGAAATGCAAAGATCTAAAACACACAGGTGACGCATCTGTGATTGAAGTGTATTTACAGGATTCTAAAGTCCCACTTACCTGAGTCTCTCTCCCTTACCTCCCCCAGCCCCTGGGAAACCCAGAATCCTAGAAGTTCATGGAATGATATTAGGGAACTAGATCATCTTTGTAGCATCACATCAAGTTGAAAAATTCCAGGATGGGATGTATAATGGATCTTATTTATTTACTTATTTATTTTTAGTTTTTGAGACAGAGTTTCACTCTTGTTGCCCAGGCTGGAGTGTAATGGCACGATCTCAGCTCACCGCAACCTCTACCTCCTGGGTTCAGGCGATTCTCCTGCCTAAGCCTCCTGAGTAGCTGAGATTACAGGCATGCGTCACCATGCCCGGCTAATTTTGTATTTTTAGTAGAGACGGGGTTTCTCCATGTTGGTCAGGCTGGTCTCGAACTCCTGACCTCAGATCATCTACCCGCCTCAGCCTCCCAAAGTGCTGGAATTACAAGTGTGAGCCACCACGCCTGGCCTATAATGGACCTTATAATGCATATCTTTAGGAAATGGCTAAGAAATAGACTAAATCATTATTTCACTTAACATTTGTATTATGAAAAATGTTAAAAACATTAAAACAAGAGAGTCCCTATGTACCTATGACCCAATATCAGTAATTATCAAGTCATGATAATTACAGCCTTGTTTCCTCTCTAACCTACTCATTCCCATGACTCCCTTTCTCCCCGCCCCGTGATTACTTTGAAGCAAATCCGCGATATACTATCATCTTGGTCCTGAGGGTTTCAAAATCTTTATTTTTAAATCTCAATTTCATTACCACACTAAGAAAAGAACATTAATTCCTTAACTTCATCTAAAATCCACAAGCCACCAGTGCCATCAAATTTTCCCCTTTACAATTTCCTTGGTGAAGAACAGAGCTGTTTTTCTACAGAGTTTTCCGCTGTCTGAATTTTCATGACAGCGTCTCTGTTTGTCATTTAACCTGCATCTCTGCCCTCTGTATACTTCCTGTGACTTCATAGCTAGATCTAGGGTCTTGAACAGATCCAAGTTCTGTTGCGGGAAGTCAGGGACCCCAAACGGAGGGACCGGCTGAAGCCATGGCAGAAGAATGTGGATTGTGAAGATTTCATGGACATTTATTAGTTCCCCAAATTAATACTTTTATAATTTCTTATGCCTGTCTTTACTGCAATCTCTAAACATAAATTGTGAAGATTTCTTGGACACTTATCACTTCCCCAATCAATACCCTTGTGATTTCTTATGCCTGTCTTTACTTTAATCTCTTAATCCTGTCAGCTGAGGAGGATGTATGTCGCCTCAGGACCATGTGATAATTGCGTTAACTGCACAAATTGTAGAGCATGTGTGTTTGAACAATATGAAATCTGGGCACCTTGAAAAAAGAACAGGATAACAGCAATTGTTCAGGGAATAAGAGAGATAACCTTAAACTCTGACCAACGGTGAGCCAGGTGGAACAGAGCCATATTTCTCTTCTTTCAAAAGCAAATGGGAGAAATATCACTGAATTCTTTTTCTCAGCAAGGAACATCCCTCGGAAAGAGAATACATGCCTGGGGGTATAGGTCTATAAACGGCCCCCACTAGGTGTGCCCATCTTCTATGGTCAAGGCTGTAGGGGTGAAATAGACTCCAGTCTCCCATAGCGCTCCCAGGCTTATTAGGAAGAGGAAATTCCTGCCTAATAAATTTTGGTCAGACCGGTTGCTCTCAAAACCCTGTCTCCTGATAAGATGTTATCAATGACAATGGTGCCCGAAACTTCATTAGCAATTTTAATTTCACCCCTGTCCTGTGGTCTTGTGATCTCGTTCTGCCTCCACTTGCCTTGTGATATTCTATTACCTTGTGAAGTACTTCATGTCTGTGACCCACACCCTATTCGTACACTCCCTCCCCTTTTGAAACTCCCTAATAAAAACTTCCTGGTTTTTGCAGCTTGTGGGGAATCACGGAACCTACCGACATGTGATGTCTCCCCCGGATGCCCAGCTTTAAAATTTCTCTCTTTTGTACTCTGTCCTTTATTTCTCAAGCCAGCCGACGCTTAGGAAAATAGAAAAGAACCTACGTGACTATCGGGGCAGGTTCCCCGATAAAGTTCCATCAAGAGGCACATGACATCTGGTTGTTTCTCTTTTGTGATGCTGGCAACCATGGATTAAAACACTGACTTTATTAGACTGATTATTTTACAGTGTCTTATCCATCTTCCAAAATGTTTCATGCATACACAAATATAGAATATTAGATATTCACAGTTTTACCCAAACTGCATTCAACTACCATTGTTCTGAAACTTTTCATTTAATGACATGGGAGTAACAGTTTTTTAAAAAATCATAATTCCATAAGATATGCTTCACATGGTAACAATATTGAGTATAGTTTAGATTCTAACAATTTAGAAGACATTTATTCAGAGTAGTGCTTTATACATAGAAGGTGAATAATAAGTTGTTGCTGAATAAATAGCCAGCCCCATTAAATCCAGTCCACTTCTAAGCAGTGGTACGCTGTGAACTGACCTGTACAAGGACTCCACCAGATGTACTACACGATAGACTCAAGTCTTCTAAAATTCCCCAAACATCTTTCTTCTCTCATTGTAAACTAGAAAAAGCCAAACAGTTCCTGGTTTTCACCATTTCTCACTTTGTGTTGTTTTTGAAACAACTGCCTAAAAACCCAGCATGGCTCCATCTTTCTACTGCCTTAACTCGCTCATTCACGCTTTCTCCTCCCTCCAAATAGCTTAAGTATAAGCCATAGCCCCTGATCAAAAATCAAACTGGTAATTTCTGCCACCCCCACTCATGCTAACTGGTGGTTACAAAAAAAACTGACAGCCTGTTTCAACGTTGCCAGAGTCTGAGGGACCCCAAAATGATCAATGTCACCATTTTGCTTCATGACTAGGAGCTTATTGTGCGAAAAGCAGCTACTCCCTATAGTCAATTAATAGTTCCATGAAAGAAGCCAGAGACGTGAGCAATCAAAACTAAATCAGGCAGCGTATTTTTTTTGAGTCCTCCGTATTTCTTTTTTCTAGAATGCTGCTGTGAAAGCTCAGAATATAAACAAGTAGGTGCTTATTAGGAAAAGACTAGTTGAAAATCTTTCGCCCAGCACATCTCAGCCACTGCAACAGTCTTCCTCACCAACAGGCTTACGTCTAAAGGACTCAGTGTGTGAGAATGAAAACGAGGTGGTGGATAAGCGGTTTTTAAACCAGGCTCATGGGCCCTAGGGGTAAGAAAGGGCAGGCACTGAGAGTCTTTGGCCAGCCCTCTATTTCTCTCTCCACCCCCAGCCCTGCACCCCTGCAGGCCACTGAATGACTCAGAGTGAAAGTCATTCCCTCCAGCACCCACAATAACCTGTCCCCACACCAGGAGCCCACCCCAGCCTGACTCAAACTCTGCCTTACTCAGGAAGGGAAGGAGGGCTCTTCCTGAAGCCGCGTTGTGCCAAAGATGCCCCACGCTCCTTGCACACTGCCAGACACTGGGCCCAAAAACTCCAGTGGTTTTACCAAAGGTATGCCTATCCCCCAATTAAAGACCCCTCATTCTGAATAAACCAGTATTCAGTTAATTACTCAAGACAAGACCCTTTAATGGATCCCAGAGGGCCTCTGAGGCAGAGAGAGGGACCTGGGGTCAGGTCCTTGATCTGTCCCCCTGGGCAAATCACTTTCCCGAGATGCCTCTTCGGGTCTGTAGATTGGAGGGACATATTCACTATCTCCTAAAGCTTTTAAAGAATCGAAAAGGCTAATTGCACAATAAAGGCAAATTCTTTCTCCTCCACCCCAGCCTGTCCTGCTTCACTCGCTCTGCTTCATTGTTCTTCATGGGTTTACACCCCCTACTTCATCTGCACTCCGTCCCAGAGAACAGTTCTTGGCCTGTCCACTCAGCAGACACCTTCTCTGACACAGGGACTGTGTAGAGAAAGAAGAGCAGGATAAATCCTCTCTGTTCTTGCACCATTTCTGGTCTAGGAATGATAGTGTGTCATCAGTCTCATCAATAGTTAATGCTTTTGCCTCCCGGAGTCACCCCAGGATAAGACGCTGCCTCAGAAGAAAGCTGTCCCCTCAACTCCAGGTCCAGCAGACACACAGGCCCACTTCGCAGAACATCTCAACCACCTGGGTGTCCTTAGCAAGCTAATGTCGTTTTTTCATCAATCAATCCCATTCCACTCCACCTCCCAGCACCCCATCATCTTCACCATAACTTCAACAGTATCCATGTATCTCAGAGGATACGAATGCTATAGGGTGAGGGCAGGAGCTCCAGTCTACTGAAAAAAACTCAAATTAGGACTACATCCTTCAAACGAGGGATGCGATACATTATTAACAGGCAGTACTCACTCATAACCTACTGGGTACTAGACACCAGGCTATGAGTTTTCAACATATTAATCCCTTTAGTTCTTTTTTCTTTTCTTCTCTTTTTTTTTTTTTTTTTTTTTTTTGAGACAGAGTCTCAGTCTGTTGTCCAGGCTGGAGTGCAGTGGTGCGATCTTGGCTCACTGCAACCTCTACCTCCCAGGTTCAAGCAATTCTCCTGCCTCAGCCTTCCAAGAAGCTGGGATTACAGATGAGCACCACCATGCCCAGCTAACTTTTTTGTATTTTAACTACAGACGGGGTTTCACCGTGTTGGCCAGGCTGGTCTCAAACTCCTGACCTCAGGCGATCCTCCCGCCTCTGCCTCCCAAAGTACTGGGATTACAGGCGTGAGCCACTGCGCCCGGACTCCTTTAGTTCTTATTACAATACTAAGGTATAGGTACAGTTGTTATCCCAATTTTCCATACGAGGAAATACAAAGGGATGGAGAGATTAAAGAAGGAGCCCAGGGTCAGATGGCTGGTAGGGGGTGGGGGTGCAATGATCTGGTTCTGTAGCTTGAGGGCCTTTTCCACAGAAAAGTAAAAGGAGGACCATACTTCTGTTGCAGAAACTGCCAGCGACCACAACCACTCATATTTAAACCCATCAGGAGAAAAGTCCTATTCACTCTCTGGACTGAGGATCAGAAGATCTCGGGCCACACCCAGGCCCTACCACCAGCAGCAGCAATAACACGGCCTTCAAACAGGGATTTCACCTCTTCTAACCCCTATTTTCCCATCTAAAAGACGAGTGTTCTAGATAATAGCTCTCATATCCTAGGATTATCTGCAAGGAAACCAGGGAGCAGAGTCTTAAGTCTTCCGCACTTGAGGTCAGAGGGACCTAGTTCAACTCTGGGCTGTGAGGCCAGCTGGCTGGTGACTGTGGGTGGGTAATTTAACCTCTAGGTTTCCGCCTCCTCATTTGCAAAGAAGGATAACAATGAATTTATTGCAAGTACTAAAGGAAGCAACACCCACAAATGCTGAATCCAGTGTCCAGCATATAACAAACACCTAATAAATGACAGACAGTCGTATTATTATTATTACCATTACTATTATCAAGATCTGAAATTCCACAGAAGGAAATCTTCCCCTCTTTAATACGGTAGACTTTATAACCTTATTTGGAAGGATAATCTGGCTAACACATTTTCCCATTTAAATCCTTGAACAACCAAGTCTGACTCAGAGTGGAGGGGGATAGGGCGGAGGGCATAAAGGTAGCAGCTGGATCCCAGGCCCCTCATCTGATGGAGGAAGAGTTTTGCTGGCTCCCCATTCTAATTCTATCCCTGCCTCTCTCTTATGCCCCTCCCACCACACTCCTGCTCCCAAGACCCTATAAGTAACCTAACCGGTCTTAAAAAAAAAGACACCACCTGAGCAAGTCTATAGCTGCTGAATGATAATGACAAGGTTCCTATGGCAACCCCCATTTCTAAAGTTTGGGTGGTGGAAGACAGAGAGGGATCATTTGGCACCTGGCTTATGGGTGAAACACCTTGAAACTGCATGTTTTTTAATTCTCTCCACAATTAGAGCCAGGCCTTACACTTTTCCAGCACAAGACACTTTACAAGGTGTTTCACACAAGTTAACTACCATGTGAGATAAGGAGGAGAGATTACTGACCCTGTTTTTTACAAATGAAAAACCTAACAATTGGACTTGTTAACAGCTCATATGCAGTAAATCCAGGATAAGACCTTGGGTCTCTTGACTCCTAAACAAGCGATTTACTCAAGACCCCACTGTGTCTTCCAGCCCTAGCTACCTTCTCTCTACCGCCCCAGCCTTCTAGGCTTTCTCCTTCTCTCAAGTCACTTACTTCGAGGCACACTTACCCAACCTTTGCATTTCTGCCTTCTGTCACATCCTGCTCTGTTTCCACAATTATCAAGTGACTCAGCTCTCCAATTAAACTGTGTACATGTCTATTCAATACCATTCAGCTGTAAAATAACCTACACATTTCTACAGTGATGCCTAGGACAAAGTTTTATTCACCAAGCGACTATGCCACCGGCTCCAGTTAAAGACTACCAGGAACATACCTGTGGTCAAACAAAGTTGGGTTCATTGGTTCACTGCAGCAAGGTGGACACTACAACAGGCAGAATTTCAGAGATCTCAGCAAGAGGATGTCAGGAGGAGCTCATTATACAATTTGGACTGTGTTCAGTGATTTAGGGGTAGGCTCAGGGAAATGTAGTTTTGCTCTGAATTGGGTGCTGTCAACAGAGCAGAAATTTTATGATGACGTAGCTTCCTAATTTTTATCTAAGAGGCAGGAGGAACAGAATGAGGCTAAAGCCATAATCGGTAAAGAAACATTCGTGTGAGCTGAGACTGGGGAATGTTTGGTTGTTTTTGTGCCTTGCAGTGATCTTGCTTTTATCTGTGCTCAGTGTTGATGATTGAGTGGTCTTGTTTTTGTCTTGTTCTATTACCAACATAGAGTGACTCCATCACTCTATATTGTATTCTGTGAAACTCTTTATGCCCAAGAAGAGAACACACAAAGGCCCCAGCTATTAGAGCCAGGCTGGCTCTAAGCAGATAGCAGCAGAAGGAACTATTCTTTGTAATTTTCTCGACAACTTGTTCCACAAGTCACAATACCTGTTTGTGGTATTTACTTTGTACTTTTTAAAAATAAGACTCATGATGGAGAAGGCTGATGTGAGCCAACGTTGAAAGGTCAGCCCTGGAGCTACAAAAAGAGGCCTCTGAGCTGAGAAACTGAAACCGATGCTCCCAGATGAAGTTTTTTTTTTCCTGCCATCAACTGTGGAAGTAATTAATAGTCACTTTTATTTCAGAATTTGTTTTATATTTAACAAAGCCTCCTGAGCATCCCTTCATGGCTTCAAGGTGGTCTGGGCACAAGATCGATAAAGATTTCGCCCCTTAATTAGGTTACATTCCAGCAAAGGTAACATGTGTTTTTTGTCTATAAAAATAAACACAACAAATTTAAAAAAACATACAGTCTGTTAGAAAGTGCTAAGTACGATAAAGGCTGGGCACGGTGGCTCACACTTGTAATCCTAGCACTTTTGGAGGCCAAGGCGGGCAGATTGCCTGAACTCAGGAGTTCGAGACCAGCCTGGGCAACACAGTGAAATCCCGTCTCTACTAAAAAAACATATATACAAAAAATAAGCCGGGCGTGGCGGCGTACACCTGTAGTCCCAGCTACTTGGGAGGCTGAGGCAGGAGAATTGCTTGAACCTGGGAGGCGGAGGTTACAGTGAGTGGAGATTGGGCCGCTGCACTCCAGCGTGGGCAAGACAGCGAGACTCCGTCTCCAAAAAAAAAAAAAAAAAAAAAAAGAAAGAAAGAAAGAAAGAAAAGTGATAAGTGCTATGAAAATAAAGAAAAAACAGAACAGGGTAAAGAGGGATGGGAATGCCAGGCGAGGGTCACAGTGATCAATGAGGCAGCCAGGCAAGCCCTCCGCCATATGAAACTGAAACATGAGAAAGTCTTGATGGAAATGAAGGGGGGGCCTAAACAAAGCCACCAAAGAGAAATTAATCCAAGGAGAAATTAATCCAAAGGGAAATCAGCACCATCGTCTCATTTCAGATATGCGACAACTGAGAACTAGAGAGGTCTAGGAACTTGTCCGAGACCACACAATTTGATGATAGAACCAGGTGGAACGTGGGTCTGCAGATTCCCTGCCACAAGCTTCCTTCCCTATAATGAACAGGATATAAGAGCATTCTGTATAGGATCAAATCCAGAAGTAACTCCAGAATCACAGGCAGAAACAGCCGCTGCTTTTCAAGCACACACAGGTTTACAATACCTGTGTGTATCCATGCCAACTTGCAAAGTGTTAACTACCAAATGATCCTGAGAGGTCCAACCTTTAGCCTCATTCAAAACAGGGGAAGAGGAGGAGGCTGTGAGCATTTAAGTCCCTTGTTCAACATCTAGATGGCCAAAGGCAGGGTTTATTTTCAAACCCCAGCTGCATAATTTCATAGCTCTATTATGCAAAACACCACACACCAGTATGATGTTCACAGATACATGTGGCCTACATAACCCTTAATAATACCTACTTCACAGACAGTTGTGAGGCTTAAATAAGTATGCCCACATATGCCGAAGATAGCAAGGATACAAAAAAGTGCCAGTTCCTTTCCCACATGTGCTGAGTTGGAAACAGCTTGGTGCCAGAGCACGTCCACAAGGATATGTCTGCCTGTTGTGCCGTCTGCTGTATCCTCAAAACCTGCCTTGGGGCAGGCACTAAATATTCACTGAATGGATGGAAAATAGAAGTATGCAAGCTCTTCCTTCTGCTCTTTGTTCTCAATACTCTAGGGATCCCCGAGAACACCTCTCAGTTCAGCTGTGGACAAGAGGAAGCAAATGCGAAAGTGAAACTGCTCTCAGCAGGTCCCAACTGAGTCCCTACTGGGCAGGCTCGTGGCCAGCCAGATGCCCAGACCGGCCATACCAGACAGTCCTTGTAGAGGCTGAACAAGATAAATTGCCTATTGTGGATTAAAAAATCTACCAAAGCACTCTAGAATGGATTCCAAGATCCATTTGCATCAAAAACGTGAAAGCAAATGAGTATCACATTCAAGGACTTGGCATATCACAAACTCAGAGCTGATCAATGTAATTATAAATGCACTTAAGGGGAAAAAAAAAAAAAAAAAAAAAAAAAAGAAAGGACCTTGCCCTGGGCATGAAGAGAAGCCATGACAGGCTGCTTTGTTAAATATAAAACAAATTCTAAAATAAAAGTGACTATTAATTACTTCAGCAGTTGATGGCAGAAAAAAAAAATCTTGGTCTGGGAGCATCGGTTTCAGTTTCTCAGCTCAGAGACCCCTTTTTATAGCTCCAGGCTGACCTTTCACCATCGGCTCACATCAGCCTTCTCCATCATGAGTCTTATTTTTAAAAAGTACAAGGTAAATCCCCCAGTGTTCTAATCAAGCCCCCTTACTCACTTGAAGGGTAACCTTCATAGAAAAGAGAGCACTTGATAAATTCCAAAGCAAGTAAAAATAAGACATTATGAAGAAGATAGTCTAATCATCACAGCTAATTACAAAAGCAGAGTACATCATTTTATTCTCCCCAAGTGTCTCCAGTTTATTTAAAAAAAAAAAGGTCCAATTTAACAAAGACATTCTGTGTTACTGGTCTGAAGAGACACAGAAGGAATCTTGGGAGATGCAGTTGTGATTTATAAAGCCAAAGAGTTAGCTGTTGAAACAGTTATTCATAAATGTATCGGTGACATATGTAAATATATAATGATATGCCAACTGGATGCAAGAGCCCGGCGAAGGTGCTGTGGGGTGCCATGTTGCATCAAGCGAGGCCG
Organism: Homo sapiens; assembly: GCF_000001405.40. Taxonomy (NCBI): domain Eukaryota; kingdom Metazoa; phylum Chordata; class Mammalia; order Primates; family Hominidae; genus Homo; species Homo sapiens. Next base: position 33,854,907 of record NC_000022.11, read on the forward strand.
CGTCCTTCACAAGCTTATGGCTGATTGCAGCATTACAAAACCCCAGAGGCAGGACCACAAGGCATTCAGCAGAGAGAGAGAGCACTTTCCAGCTCAGGAGGCCCGGGCAGTCATTCTGGAGAAGGTGGCATATAAAGTGGGCCTTAGGCTGGGCACGGTGGCTCACGCCTGTAATCTCAGCACTTTGGGAGGCCGAGAAGGGCGGATTATGAGGTCAGGAGACCGAGACCATCCTGGCAAACACGGTGAAACCCTGTCTCTACTAAAAATACAAAAAAATTAGCCGGGTGTGGTGGCGGTACCTGTAGTTCCAGCTACTCGGGAGGCTGAGGCAGGAGAATGGCATGAACCCAGGAGGCGGAGCTTGCAGTGAGCGGAGATCGCGCCACCACACTCCAGCCTGGGCAAGACAGCGGGACCCCGTCTCAAAAAAAATAAATAAATAAAAATAAAGTGGGCCTTGAAGAACGGGTGGAAGGTAGAGGGGTGGAGTGGGAAACTGTCAGAACCCTAACCATTTGCTAGCCACTCCATGTGCCCCCAACCTGCCCAACCCAGAAAGGATCAGGCGAGAGACCTCAGGGTCTGGAGGGCCCATCACGCCTCACCAGGGCTGTGTGGTACAATCCCCAGGACCCATGTTTCAGAACCCAAATGCCACATTCCAGCCAAGATGGCAGGAATCAGAATTTCAGAGGTGGGGCTTGGTCCTGTGCTTCTGGGAAAGGCCCTCAAGGAATTTCTGATGAGCAGCCCTCTGCCCCCAGGAACCACAGATTAACACCAGTATCTTAGTTTTCGAAGTGGAGCAAATGAAACTCAGAGTGGGGGGGTTCCTTACTTTTTCATCATCATTCTGATGAATATGTAGTGAATACCAACCTCAGGATACAAAAATTAATAAAGCCCATACCTGCCCTCATTACACGTTTTTTGCTCAGTGAGTCCTTACAGCAAAACCATGAAGGACTACTGTCATCTCTTCACATGCCCCCTTTTTATTAAGACAAAGAAACTGAAGCTTAAAAGGTTAAGAGAACAGGAATAATAAATGATGGAGTCGGGATCAAGTCTTGGCATCCTGAGACGCACCCCGCACCTCTGTGCTGCTTACTGGAGGCTTCCCGGGCACCCAGCCCTACGCTGGCACCTGGGCGATGACTATGTACAACAAATGGCCTCTGATCTCAGTAGGAATAGGGGGTTTAGGGGACAGCAGAAGAGAGCTGTCCAAGAACCAAACTTCCACTGAAAAGATTTCAAAATGTTTCATGTGCAGAATCCAACCAGAGTGCTGAACTGTGGCCATACCCGGACCAGTTCTCAGGGGGCCATGCTCCTCTGGAAATGTTCTCCACCCAGACAAACACATGCCTCTCCATGGAAGAGGGTCAGAACCATTCCCGACAGAACAAGCTGGGTGGGTGGGTGGTGGGTCTAAGCAGTCACTTCCCCCTCAGAGCCTCAGTGAGGTCCATACGAAGAGGCTGAAATGAAGACTTAAGGCGCAGCTCCTAGAAGTGATAAATAGATCTACTGATCATCAGCCAAGAGAGTAAGACACAGGGGAAATCCCACCAGAACTGGGAATTAGACACTGTTTCCAGGTCCCTGTGAGGCAGCCACTGTGTCTTCTTTGGTGAAAGAACCGGATTACAGCCCTAAACTTAGAGGCGGACAACGCCAAGCCCTAGGCTGGTGCGTCTACTTTTAGCTGTGTGAGCCAAGCGAGGTAGCTTACTTCAGCACAGATCGCCCTGCTGAAAAACGGCAACTTGGAAAGGTTTCTGTGAGGATTTAATAAAACAGCTTTGAAAACGCTACACATCTTACCTGGCTCACGACAGGTGCTTTACAAACGGCTGATGCATCTGAATGCGTTTCTTAATGTAGGTTCTGAAAAATAGACAAGGCCCCTTTAAGGTTAGTTGTCAGATGAACCTGTCTGTCATTATCCTCTCCTGTCTCCCCGCCGCTCCCTAATTTTTGTTTTTCCAAGAGCAAGCAGAAAAAGCTAAAATAACTTTTTTTTTTCTTTTTTTGAGACAGAGTCTCGCTCTGTTGCCCAGGCTGGAATGCAGTGGCGTGATCTCAGTTCACTGCAACCCTTGCCTTCTGGATTCAAGTGATTCTTGTACCTCAGTCTCCCCAGTAGCTGGGATTACAGGCTCAGCTAATTTTTGTATTTTTAGTAGAGATGAGGTTTTGCCATGTTGGCCAGACTGGTCTCGAACTCCTGGCCTTGAGGGATCCGCCCTTCTCAGCCTCCCAGAAGTGCTGGGATTACAGCGGTGAACCACCGCACCCAGCCTAAAAGAACATCTTTAAGTAAAGGTTCATGGGGCAGACAGATTAGTGGCTCTTTTATTCTAAGCTGGAAGCCAAAAGGAACAGACTCCCCTCAAGGGCAGGAGAAAAAAATCCATTGGGAGCTTTTGATACCCAGACAGCTGGGAAGCCCCAAAGGGCAAGAATTCAATAAATACTCCCACTGGACAGGCAACGGCAAGAAACGATGCAATCAGAAAAAGGCCAAGTTAAATTACATGTTCACTTGCAGTAAGTTTTCAAGGACACATACTAACAAAACACTTACTTAAATATTTCTTATAGTTGTTTATCGGTAAATGTTAGTAATTAGTAATTAATGCTCTCCTAGATAAACAAAATGCCTATTTTAAATAGAAAATGATAATCGAGTGCATCAGAGAGAATCTCTAGCCTATCACACAAGAGATCTCGCCTTTGACACCATAAACCATATTACTGCACACCCAGGGCAGTTATCTGCTTAAGACCTGGGCTTGAGAAAAAATGACTAGCCTCCAGGAAACAACAGATGCTGGAGAGGAAGTGGAGAAATAGGAATGCTTTTACACTGCTGGTAGGAGTGTAAATTAGTTCAACCATTGTGGAAGACAGTGTGGCGATTCCTCAAGGATCTAGAACCAGAAATACCATTTGACCCAGCAATCCCATTGTTACCGGGGTTCCTTGCTCCCAAGTTGGAACCGGGAGTTCCAACTCCCAAGATCGTGGCGGGCCGCTTCCAAAATGGCGGCCGGTCGCTTCCAAGATGGTGGCAAGCCTCGTGTTCTCTGACCTGGGGTTCTTGGCCTCACAGATTCCAAGGAATGGAATCTTGGGCCATGTGGTGAGTGTTATAGTTCTGTTAGAAGCCACGAGTCACGGAAGAGAACCGTGGAACCCCGTGACTAGTGTTCAACTCGATTAGGATGAACCCAGGCACGTAGCTGTGCAGGAACAACGGCAAGCCTTTAGCCCGATCGGGAGCGGCAATGGGCACCTTGCTGGATCAGGAGCCCAGTGGACATCCTGCTGGATCCAGAGGGATGGAAGTCAGCGGCAGGTCTGTGACTGTGGCAAACAGCAATGGTGGACAGCAAGCGAAAGCTCAGCTCCAGCCATAACAAACCCGGACCAGAAGAGAGTGCGGTTGCAAGATTTAACAGAGTGAAAACAGAGCTCCCATACAAAGGGAGGGGACCCAAAGAGGGTAGCCATTGCTGGCTCGAATGCCTGGGTTTATATCCTGATCATTGTCCCTCCCGCTGTGCTCTCAGGTGATAGTTGATTGGCTATTTCTTTACCTCCTGTTTTTGCCTAATTAGCATTTTAGTGAGCTCTCTTTACTACCTGATTGGTCGGGTGTGAGCTAAGATGCAAGCACCCTGTTTAAAGGTGGATGCGGTCACCTTCCCAGCTAGGCTTAGGGATTCTTAGTTGGCCTAGGAAATCCAGCTAGTCCTGTCTCTCACCATTACTGGGTACATACCCAAAGGATTATAAATTATTCTACTATAAAGACACATGCACACGTATGTTTATTGCAGCACTATTCACAATAGCAAAGACTTGGAACCAATCCAAATGCCAATGATAAGCTAGATAAAGAAAACGTGGCACATACACACCACGGAATACTATGCAGCCATAAAAAAGGATGAGTTCATGTCTTTTGCAGGGACATGGGTTAAGCTGGAAACCATCATTCTCAGCAAACTAACACAAGATCAGAAAACCAAACACCGCATCTTCTCACTCATAGGTGGGAGTTGAACAATGAGAACACATGGACACAGGGAGGGGAACATCACACACTGGGGCCTGTAGGGGGTCGGGGGCTAGGGGAGGGATAACATTAGGACAAATACCTAATGTAGATGACGGGTTGATGGGTGCAGCAAACCACCATGGCACATGTATACCTATGTAACATAACTGCACGTTCTGCACATGTATCCCAGAACTTAAAGTATAATTAAAAAAAATAAAAATGACTAGCCCCAAGGGAGCTCACCTTATAAATGCAAACCTGTATCATGATAATAATGTTGTATTACTGTACTTCCTAATTTCAGAACGACATCTCATCATAGTCATTTTTAAAATATGGAAACAAACGCACGAGCTTTGGGAAAAGGTAGAAATGACACTAGGAAAACAACGGGCACCCAACAGATACAAACAAAAAGCCTTCACCTTACATTGTGGCCTCTGGCGGTATAAACTTGGTCCCCACCAGGCTTCTGGAAGAAGTGTTGTCTGAGTAGGGACTCAGAAAATAAAAGGGAGTTTTCAACAGGCCCAAAGCAGTTTCAGGCTTAACAAAGGCCACATTGTATAAAATTCTTCTCAACTCCTAAAGCTGGAGGATCCTTGGAAGTAAAAAGCAGTCAGAAGTCAGGTATCAAACAGAGACCGGGGCTTAAATCCAGGTATGTTTTCTTGGTCTTGAATGATTAACGAAATCAACAAAATGTGGTCAAGAGCTGGAAGCAACCCATTATGACATGTATGGTTCATCAAGGACATGTTCAGCAACAGATAAATGGGCAAACCAAGGTGCTATGTGGCATACATATAAAGTAGAAGGAAATATCATCGACACGCTACACCATGTGATGTAAACTTTGAGGACCTCATGCTAAGTGAAATACGCCAGTCACAAAACAACAAATACTATATCATTCCACTCATATAAAGTACCTGGAGGACTCAAACCCATAGAGAATGCTGCTTGCCAGGGGCTGGGAGGAGGGGAAAATAGGGAGTTCTTGTTCAAAGGATGCACAATTTCAGTTCTGCAAGATCCAAACAGTTCTGGAGATTGGCTGCACGACAATGTGAAGATACTTAACACTACTGAACTGTCCACCCAAAAATAGTTAAGATGGTCAATCTTATGTGTATTTTACAATTAAAAAATTTTAAATTTTTTTTTAAATTAAAAAAAAATTTTTTTGTACAGACAGGGTCTCACTATGTTGCCCAGACTGCTCTTGAACTCCCGGACTCAAGTGATCCTACCGCTTCAGCTTCCCAAAGTGTTAGGATTACAGGCGTGAGCCACGATGCCTGGCCTTTTTTGAATTTTTTTAAATCGAGAAGCTGATACTTAACCCCAGGGCTTGAAATAAGACTTAAATAAAATAATGTACACAGTCTAACCCATAGCACCTGGCATACCATAGATGTTCAAATAAATATTTGTTTCTCCCACTGTCTTTGTTTTCGGAATAAGAAATAAAGTTGTGGCCAGAGAAGTTAAGGGCCTGGAGGGGCAATCCTAGTGGTTGGGAACTCCAGGGTCACAGTGTCCTGGCTCCACACTGGATTCTCTACTCAGCAGCAAGCATGGCCTGAGGAAAGCGACCCAGCCTCTCTGACACTCAGCGTCCTGAGCTGTGAAGGTGGTGGTGGGATCAGCACCTCAGAGGGGGCTCTTCTGAGGATGGGCGTGCAACCGTGATCAGGAGAATGCCTGGCTCACACAAACATGACTTCAGCGCTCACCAGGGCAAAGCGGGGGCAAGACCAACACGTGCAAACTACCAGGCCACTACCCTGACCCTCCTGGGCCAGTCCCCCACTCCAGCTGCCCACAACAACTAGAATGGTGCATCTGCCTGCAAGCTGGAGTCAGCACGGGGAACACCGTGGGCGCAGCCAGCCTGAGGCCTTTCTGATGACCTACTGCACTGCCACCACAACCACGACCCTTGCCCGTACATCCATGCACCCTCAGCAAGGTCCTTGGAGTGTGAAGCCTGCACTCCTGGGCACTGTCGCTAGAGAGATTTCAACCCTGAATCTCAGGGTGGGCAACGCTTCCTTAGGCTGAGAGTGGGTAACGAAGCGGCATCGCCCAG